>NC_000006.12:92907648-93058586 GCF_000001405.40 Homo sapiens
TACCCAGTGGTCTGATGGAGTTAATGCTCCCAACCTAGCAAACCTCCTGCATATATACATTCTAATGACTCCCTGTAATCCGAGTTCCTCCACCTTTAAGGTTACCCGTATTATTCCAATGTGTTACGTAAAAGCTAAATAATAATGTAATTTTAATCAGCAAATGCATTCCTTTCATTCTCATCTATTATCAAACATGATACTGATTTGATAGGTGGCATTTTTTAAAGCTATCATTGCACTACCACTGTTTTTATGATCCTCTTTAATAGTCCAAAATAATCTACAAATTAAAATATTTGTTAATCTATTTATTTTTTCTTTGGTTTAGGACAAAATTCAGGCTTCTTCAGTTCTATTTCATTTACCAGTAACAAAGAAGGCAATGTGTTAGTTTCAACTCTCATTGTCTGTATGAAGGGATAGTATTTCTCTGAATATCTAAAACAGAGCAAGTACAAACTTCCATCCTTAGGAATGGAAAGTGAAATTGTGAATCCTTAAGAGTCTCACTCCAAATAATAGAAACAGAAAAAATAATCACATAAGTTATTTCTTAAAGGTGCTCCTGTGTTATCCCATCAGTTGAATGCTGAGAATTGTGAAATCACAGTTTGGAAGCACCATTAAAAAATAATCTAATAAAAATACCTCCCTGTTACAATAAGAAAAGCAGGCAAACTCCTTTCCAAATGAGGAAGACTGGTTCAGAGATGGTACCATCCCTTTGGTTCTATCAAGCCCAAGCTTAGGGGGTGGAGCAGGTTGTCATTGTTGTCAAGACAGCCTTTACTTAAGAATATGAGTTCCAAAAAAGAAGCCAAAAGATGAATACCAAAGTAAAAATATCATGAAATAATCATAAACATAAGGTGGAGAAAATCCTTACCAAGGAGCCAGGAAATCAAAAGGAGAAGAGCAGCAGAGCACGCAACTTAAAAGTCATCCTATGGAATTCTAGGTTCCTCACATTTTCCTTTACCAACAAGCTGGGATAAATGGGAAGATCAGGATATTCTTGAAATTCAGTAACAGTTAAAACAACCTAAATTCCAGTTGGTCCTCTTATGAGTCCAAAAAAGACTTAGTTTTACCTCCCAATTTAATGAATTCAGTGAATAATCCACTTCATACTTAGAAGTTTCCCTAAATTATGTGCATTTACTACTTCCTTTAACGGTTTTGTATTTGCCACATTAGTTGCTAGAAATACGCAAGTGAATATAATGAGTAAACTTCTCTCACAAAGCTTCCAATTTTGTGTGGGAATCAGTTAATTAAAGAAGCAATTACGATATAGTGTGACAGGCACAACTTACTGTGATAGATCAGAAGGTTCACAAAAACAAGCCAGAGACAGTAAGCCAGATTTTGTGTGATTTGTTTGTTTGTGGGAAGAGTGGCAATATTCTTTCAAGGATATGACATCTAAACTATAACCTAAGGAATGAGTAAACAGTTAACTGGGAGGAGAAAAGAGAAAAGATTGTGTCAGAAAGAGTTTTGAATGAGATATTAGTGGTCAAAGAGGAAACAAGTAACATTCAGTGAAGAAACTCATGATGGTAGGATTGAGACACAATGAACCATGGGATGAATGGTGAGAGACGGAGTGGGTATGATGTGTATATTTAAATGTAAATTATTGGACTAGTCTTCTGTTTTTTTATTGCTATTTTGTGGTAGTGGCAGAACTATTGTGTGTATTAATTATAACTCATTCTGAATACCATGAACTCCAGGGCATTGACAAAATCCTAAGGCAGCAAGACTGAGAATCGGGTGTTGAAATATGAGGAAAATGCTAAAGTAATCTCAGTCAGACCTTGAAGAGAGCCTTTTAATTGAAATATAAGGCATTTTTTACTACAAGCCTTCCCTCTACCTCTTTCTCCCTTCTGTCTCTGTCTTTCTGTCTCTCTGTTCATTTAATACTTCTCAATTTGGTGGATTTTCAAAGCATCAGCAGAAGCAATGATAGATTTTGTTTCCTCGACCACATAACTTACTATAATTTTTTAACTTTCCTTTGCAAATTTGAACGTACTCTAAGCTGTTTCATTTTAAAAGTAAAAACTTTGTTTTTAGATGCCTTTTCTATGTCTAAGCAAATATTTGATTCCTAATGTTATTTCCCACTACTTTAATGACAGTCGGCTCCTCCCAGGAACAACACAACCACAATCCTTCAGGGAAAAAGTTGTAAACTAATACAGTGAGAGCAACAATAGAAATATTTTCTGTACATTCAGCACTTGGCATTTGTAGCATTTTCAAGCAAACCTTATGAAAGAAATGGGACACGATTTGGCAGTAGTTCTAGAAGGAAGATGTGTTTAACTATTTTGTGTGCTGTTTTGTCATTTTCCATCAGAAATAGGTGCATAATAGTTTAGCAAAGACAGCAGTTTTTAATTGCAAAAATAAACTAAACCTAGATTTTTCACTTTATCCAACATTGTAATCAAGTTCTAGCAAGTGTAAGTTACATCTTTCATGGATCAGGTCTTCCCATAGATATGTGTGTTTAAGTGTAGAAACATCTCATTTCTACTGTAATAGATTTATGATACTCCAAAAACTGGAATTCATTATATAATTGCTAGTACCACTTGAACAAGTAGGTAGTTGCCGAAATCAAATAAAGGAAAGGATGGAGAATGTTTTTTAATTTATTCATTGGGTCAGTGCCTATTTGTCTGTATGTGCTGTTCAGGTAGGAATGTATATTTCATTATATTACCATTTTATTTCTGATATTGTCTTCAGTAAAGTGGAACAAAAATGATAATTTCTTTAGTAGTTGGTAACGATTTCCCTACAGGTGAATAAATATAGTACAAATACAGGCCAGTAGTGTTTTGGGGGGTCACTTAGTTTCTCTTCTCTTAAAATCTGGTCCATTATAAAATTTGGATATAAATTGTAATTCTTCACTTCACATAGAAATATTATGTGAAATAAAAAACAAAATCATATGCAAATATATAATTACTATCTTGGTCTTGACACAGAAATCATGTAAGGAATGAAAAAGACAAAATATTATCTGTGTTTGAAAAACATTTAAATTACTCTTCCTCTCATGCATATACAAAATATATCTTAGAATATTTATTATCATATCTGGATTTAATTCAAAAATTCATCTAATGTAACAGCTAACATGAATTCGAGTAGATTTTGCCAACTTGGCATTTATTTATCCCTTTATTTCTTTTCATTTCATTTCTTTTTATTGTTTTTGTTTTTATTTTGAATTGGTGGTGGGATGGGGAGGATTAGTAACCTGATTTTTTCTTGGAAATTCACCACTCCTTCATCCTAAGTCTATGCAGTTGAGGTAAGCTTAAAGCTACCAAACACTTTCACAGGTAGGCTTGTGCCCAAAACCAGGTTAATGAAAATTCTAAAACTTGGATTGAAAACCACTGGAAAAGAATAGCCTCTTTCCAGCCAGGCTAGGTGGCTCACATCTGTAATCCCAGCACTTTGGGAGGCCGAGGCGGGCGGATCACGAAGTCAAGACATTGAGACCTTCCTGGCCAAAATGGTGAAACCCCGTTTCTACTAAAAATACAAAAAATTAGCTGGGCATGGTGGCGCACACCTGTAGTCCCAGCTACTCAGGAGGCTTGAGGCAGGAGAATCGCTTGAACCTGGGAGGTGGAGTTGCAGTGAGCAGAGATTGCGGTACTGCACTCCAGCCTGGTGACAGAGTGAGACTATGTCTCAAAAAAAAAAAAAAAAAAAAGAAAAGTGTCTTTGCTCTTTTGACTCTTTTGATGCTCAGCTGTGAGAATAATACCTAAAGCTATTTAGGGCTTCTAGAACAGGAAAACCTACCTAAGAACCAAGCCAACAAAGAGGAAATAGTCAACAGATGGTAAGAGATGGTTTCCTGACCATATTACTTTAGGACTTTGATCTAGCCATGCCTAGACTTTTCAATCTTCTTGGGTAAAATTTTCTGGTTTTGCTTAATTGAGTAGACTTTTTTGTTATGTGTAACTAAAACAGCCTTAATTACTACACTAGTATCATTTTCATGGAAAGGACCACAAATTCCCCAGAAAAGACTGCCTTCTAACAAATCTACTAAGTCTTTCCAAAGTAGTTCTAGAAGTCAGTAATACAACAATGCATACCTTTTGAAAACTAAAGTTTGAGAAGCATTGCCCTAGAAAACAAGCTCAACTTATATCTTATTTATCTTTGTATCCCTAGAGACTTGTATTTGGTCTAGTATATAATTAATATTCAATGATTATTGAATAAAGTGTTCTCAAAATTCTATACATTACTTGGGCAATAGAATACAAAGAGGTACAAAAACAGGTTATTTTCATTTCAGAACATCAAAAATCGTGTAATTAAGTGTTGATTACATAATAATTAAATGATTGATTACATAATAATTAATAATTCATATTTTCTCACTTGTCCAAGTAATATTAAAATGTGCTCTCAAAAATTAAAAATGGCTACAGGTTTAAGTAAATTTAAGAAATATGCCTATTATTATTTTTCTTAAAATTCTCAAATACATAAATACAGTAAATACACCAAGAAGTCCTGCAATTCCAGGAGTCAAGTTCAGTCTCCCAAATTTGCAAATGGAAAACTTTAAAAAAAGGAAACACTAGTTACAATCTCACATGAGTATTCTACGTATTACCATTAGAAAACCTGTAGCATAGCATGATAAGGAGAATATATTGAGAGTGGATGAAGGGACTGGGGTGAAGTTGTAAGATAACGATATTTAATATGGCTGTTGAGGTATTTTTGAGTGGTTGTCAGAAAGAAGGAGTATTTAGGTGTATTAGAGACAGAAGGCAGAGTGTGTGCAAAGCCATGGGCTTCTGCCAGCACTGTGAGTACCAAAAGAGGCAAAGATTTTTGACAATTATTCTCAACACAGAATATCCTTGTAGGTGCTAATTATTAACACTTTCTACTTTTTGTTAGCTGTTATTTTATTCAATTTTTACAATTCTATGAAAACTCTTACCTTTCCATCCTTTCTTAAATAGGTATTAGGTGCCACTGCCACCAGTAAGAATAATAATAATAGCAAAAATGAATCCTTACTATATGTCAGGTAAGAGCTTCGCATGTTTAAGTAAACTCTCAAAACAACCCTGCAAAGTAAGAATTATTATTATCTTCATTTAACATCAGAGTATTATTAAGATACTCAGTGTCTCATCAATACTGAGACAGATATGAGATGCCCAAGTTCAGAAGACCAATGGATGGCAGAACCAGAGGCAACTCAGGAGGTCTGGTTCCACCACCTGTGTCCTTTAATGTCATACTCTACCATGTGCAACACTAGTCTGGGTGCCTATATACTGTTGCATAAATAGATTTTCCCCTACTCTAGTCAACTTACAGTCTGTGAAGAATGTAGACCAACCAACCACACACACACATACACATACACAGAGTAACATGCGTGCAAACTAGGGCCTGGGCAGAGCCTCAAGGTACAAAACCAGAACAACAGAGTAGGAAGAAGAGGTGAAAAGTCACCTCTTGCTCAAGATTGCCTTGGTTATTCATGGTCTTCTCTTGGATCCATATGAGTTTTAGGATTTTTTTTCTATTTCTGTAAGTAATACTGTTGAAATTTTGATTGGGATTGCAGCGAATCTATAGAACATTTTGAGTAGTATGAACTTTTTTAAAATTTTATTTTTTTCAATCCATGCACATGACTTTCCATTTATTTGTATCTTTAATTTCCTTCATAATGTCTTAAAATTTTTAATGTACAAGTCTTTCACATCTACAATTAAGTTTATTCCTAAGTATTTTATTCTTTTTGTTGCCATGGCTAATAGGATTATTTTCTTAATTTCTTTTTAGGCTGGGTTGTTATTTGAATAGAAATACCAGTAATTTTTGTATATTTATTGTATCCTGCAACTTTACTAAATTTGTTTATTATTTTAAACATTTTTTGTTGAGTCTTTAGAATTTTCCCTTCCTTCCTTCCTTTCTTCCTTCCGTTCTTTCCTTTCTTTCTTTCTTTCCTCCTTCCTTCCTTCCTTCCTTCCTTCCTTCCTTCCCTCCCTCCCTCCCTCCTTCCCTTCTTTCTTTTCTTTCTTTCTTTCTTTCTTTCTTTCTTTCTTTCTTTCTTTCTTTCTTTCTTTCTTTCTTTCTCTCTCTCTCTCTCTTCTTTTCTTTTTTGTTTTTTGGTAACAGGGTCTTAATCTGTCACCCAGGCTGGAGTGTAGTGGAGCAATCAGAACTCACTGCAATCTCAAGCCCTTGGACTCAAATCATTCTCCCACCTCAGCTTCCTGAGAAGCTAGGGCTACAAGCATGTGCCACCACACTTGGCTGATTTTCCTGGTCTCAAGTGTTCCTCTTCCCTTAGCTTCCCAAAATGTTGTGATTACAAACATGAGCCACCCCACCCAGCAAGGCTTTAGAATTTTCTGCATATATGATCATGTCATCTGCAGACAGAGGTAATTTTACATCTCCATTTTCAATTTGCATCCTTTTATTTCTTCTTTTCCTCTGATTGCTCTAGCTTGAACTTTTAGTACTATATTAAATAGAAGTGGCATGAGCAGGCACCTTTACTTTGTACCATATCTTAGAGAAAAAGCCCATCACACTTCCTGATTTCAAAATGTTTACAAAGCTACAGTAATCAAAACATCATAGTATTGGCATTAAATAGACAAATAGACAAGTGGAACAGAATAGACAGTCCAGAAATAAATCCATTCATCTATGGCCAACTGGTTTTCAACTAAGGAGCCAAGAAGACAAAATGAGGAAAAGATAGTCTCTTCAATAATATGTGGAAAAACTGGATATCTACATGTGGAAGAATGAAATAGGATCTGTATCTCATACCATATACAAAAATCAGCTCAACATGGATTAAAGGCTTAAATCTAAGACCTGAAACTGTAAAACTTCTGGAAGAAAACATAGGGAAAACCTTCTTCCATTGTACATTGGTCTGAGTAATGACTTCTTGGGTATGACCCCAAAAACATAGACCAGAAAAGCAAAAACAAAGTTGGATCACATCACGGTAAAAATCTTCTGCCCAGCAAAGGAAACAATCAAAGAATGAAAAGGCAACCTATGGAATGGGAGAACATATTTGCGAGCCATATATCTGATAAGGGCTTAATATCCAAAATATATATGAAACATATACATATAAATAGCAAAAACAAAATAAAATCCCACAAATAACCCTATTTAAAAATGGGCCAAAATGACCTGAATAAACATTTCTCCAAAGAAGACATACACATGGCCAACAGGTATGTGGAAAAAGGCTCAACATCACCAGTAATTAGGGAAATGCAAGTTAAAACCACAGTGAGCTACCATCTCACACCTCTTAGAATGACTACCATCAAAAACTCAAAAGACAAATGTTGACAAGGTTGTAGAGAAAAGGAAACCGTTGCACACTGTTGGTAGGAATGTAAATTGGTACCACCATTTTTGAAAACAGTATGGATGTTCCTTAAAAGATTAAAGACGAGACTACTATTATCCAGCAATCCATTTTGGATATAAATCCACAGGAAACTAAGTCACTATTGAAAAGGACTCCCTTGTTTATGGCAGTATTATTTATTCATAATAGCCGAGATATGAAACAACCTAAATGTTTGCTGATGAATAAATGAATAAATAAATGTTGGTATGTACTGTACAAAGATACAGTAATCAAAACATTATGGTGCTGGCATAAAACAGGCACACACAGCACAATGTCTATTCAGGTACTTTGCTCATTTGAAATATGAATATCATTCAGCCTTAAAAAAGAAAAAAATCCTGCCATTTTCAACTATAACACATATGAAACTGGAGCATATTATGATAAATGAGTTTAGGCAGACACAGAAAGAAAAATAGCACATGATCTCACTTATATGTGGAATATAAAATGGAATCACAGAAGCAGAAAGTAGAATGGTGGTTGCCAGTGGCTGGAGGGTGAGATGAAAAGGGGAGACGGTTAAAAGAAAGTTTCAGTTCTGCAAGATGAATAAGTCCTGAAGGTCTATTGTAAAGCAACATGTCTATAGTTAACAATACTGTATTATATACTTGAAATTTGTTAAGATGGTATATTTTAAGTGTTCTCATCATAAAAAAAAGGAAAGAAAAAAAGAAAATGCTAACTATGTGAGGTAATCGGTATGTAAATTAGCTTGATTATAGTCATTATTTCACATCTATGTATATCATTACATCAAGTTGTACTTTTTTTTGTTTGTTTGGTCAGTCATACCTCAGTAAAGTAAGGAGAAAACATTCACATCACTGAGTGCTTACATTTTTCTCTCTCCCCACTGCTTGGCCTCTTTTCTCAAGACAGGTAAAGGAAGTAGAGGAGAGAAACCCAAATGACAAGTATTAACCACTAAACTGGCCTCCAAACAATGACCACCCTTAGAAACTATGTTAGTTTTACCTACCTCCTCCCTTTATCCCTCTTCCTGCAAGTTCTTAAATGAGCTTTCTCCTTCTATTCTCAACAAAATTCCCATCCCTTTAGAATGATTAGTGTACCTTACTCTGACTGTGAAATCTTTTTTGTCTAGCTGCCAGTTTTAGTGCTTCTGAATATAGGCTTGGTCATCTTTGCTGTTTCCCTTATTAGAAGGGATCATTGACTCGCCTAGCTTCCTAATTAGCACAACAATCCACTCTCACTGGTCATCTATTTTATTTGTTTCCCAGGGACGAAAAATCACAATAATGATTATTTAATCTCTTGTCCTGACAAACACAGCTGAGTATAACACAAACGATCAGTTTGTCAGTTAGAGTGGTATAGCTATTGTAGCATTAAGACAGAATGATTGTGACACACAACCTCACCTTGAGAATTACTGTCTGGAAGCTCCAAATTTTAGTTATGTCCATGATAATGCAAGTTTATCATCCAAGAATAAGTATTTAACACTGTCCATATATGCCCCATCTTTATAGTCAGATACAAAGAATAGTCAGTAAAATAAAAACCTAAAATCACAAAAACACTGCTTTATGCATATATGCAGAAACACATGTCTTAACCAAAAGAATCCAATTCCTCCAGCAGAACCACTTATTCAATAGTCTAATGCATTTTAATACCTATGAAATGACAGGCCATGTTCTAGGCCTGAGAATGCATTTTTAAAAAGCTAATTTTTTCCCTACTTAACTGAGGCTATCAGACCAATTTTAAGTTTGCTATCATATTCTCTGTCCCAGAGAGAATATCCTCAATACATTTTTTAAAAACTGAAATTTTAAAGAAGTCCAAAGGAAAACCAAATATGACAGTTATTTAGATTTATAGCCCTACTTCTAAAGAATAATTAATATTAAGTTAGAATTGAAATTTTTTCAGCAAAAGATGATTTTTTTTCTCCCCAAGAGCACTGGAAAACACCTCCTGACTTACATTAAATAGGTTCACAATGAATTAGATCAAATAAAGGGTAAGTAGAGTACCCAAGTAAAAAAAAGCTTATACTCACTTTTTTAAATAATGCAATAAATTATCTAAAATTAAATTTGTATTGATAGTATCAGAGTATTCAAATCTGATGATTGCTTTCCTCTTCACTGACAGTTTACTTTCTTCAAGTGTCAGTCATTCTTTAGATTTTATGACACAAAAGTAAATTTAACTTGAAAAAATATTTTAAGGCTCTTAAGAAATATAGCATTGAAAAACTGATTTTAAAAAAGTTGATTAAGAGTCAGTCCAACACTTAAGCTCCTGGAAAACACATAAAACCTGGTGAGAGATATTGGTTAATCTCCAGAATGGTGTCAATAGGGTGTATAAACTAAGTGCAGTTTGGCACAAGATACTAGAGGCATTTTTTCATATTATATAATTCAAGGTGACGTTATAGAATTAATACCAAATACTCAAAGAAAGAAAAAAGAAAACTATGACTGAAAGCCTAGGTATTTAGCTACATTTTTAGCATGATTTTTATATAAAAAAAAGAATATCCAGGCAAGCACACTAAGCACATTGAGTAAGTAAGGTTAAAATAAATGAAGTATGTAAATAATTTATTTTTCTGTGAAATACTGTGCAGTGTTATACAATTTACAGAGTACAGGGCATCACATATAAGTGTTTGAAATCTCATTAAAACATAATATGGGTCTACTGATAGATCAGCTAAAATCTGAATTCTAGAAAATATCTCTAATTTTGAATAATGAAGAAATGGACATTAACATCTATTACCTTATGGCTTACCTGTTCCTTGTGGCCCATGAGTTTATACTGTATTAGGACCTTCCTACCAAGAGGGAAAATAAAATAGAACCTCCCAAGAGACTTGAAATTTTTCTAGCCTATTCCAGTTTAAATGTTATGTATTGCTTTTATGAACAAACATAAGGAAAATGCATTTTGGAACAAGAAAATAACAAAAATAATCCAGTTCAAGGCTCTCATTTTATAGACAAATAAATTAAGCAACAGACAATCCTCCAACAGAAGTTACAAGAAGCATTATGATTTTCCATCCCCCATTCCATAATTAAAAGAGTTTGCAACTCTGCGGATCTAGCCACTTGGTATCATAATATCTGGCCATATTATAGCCTTGTGAGTAACCAGAAATTCTAGTTCTTCATAGAGTAATTTTCTGACTCTATTTAGCATCTTGTTTGATTACATACCAAAGGGAGATGTCATATTCCACTGCCCTGATTTTAATCTGAGCAAAACTGAATTTTTTAAAAAAGAATTGTCAGTCTGGAGACATATTGGATAACAACCACTCCAGACAGCTTAGGTGATATGTCTGAAAGATATTTGGTTTCTTACCAAAAACATAGCCCAAGACTCTAATTGTAGTTATCTTCTTTTGAGAAATGGATGGTAAATGACAAGATGATACTAAACCCTCATAACACAAAGTCATGAAATTTATTGATTCACCTCAAAACTGCTGGAGTTTTCATATGTCAGGGCTTTCAAGTAGTAGTGTACTGTCTGTATATCATGCACGTTAAGGTTTTATTAAAAATTCAATGAAATATTTATATCTCAGTTATAAACCCCTTATGGGTAGATGAATGCAATCAAGACATAGTGATTTTCCAATGTGAGTTTTATACATAGACCAGTTTGTCATGGCAATGGATGTTTTTTGGTTTTTAAAAAGAGAACAGTTTTTAAATGTCCTACTTCTTACATGGGAATGACTTACGCGACTGCTGTTTCAATACTTCAGCTTCCCCAACCCAGTCCCCAGGCCCCTCCTGAGCTGAAGAATAAAACTGATTTACCAGAGAATTCCCATAGGACTTGTTTCAAATTTCCCTGGGTAATTCAGAAATAATTTTAAATTTCTCTAGGTAATTCAGAAATAATTTCATAATAATGCATAATAAAATTCATGGAGATTTTAAAGTAACAAGGCTTTCTGTTAAAATTCCCAAGATAACATCTCTTACAGTAATTCCATTGTGTAAGTACAAAGACAATTGTCAGTAATTCCAAATGATGTCGATATTTGAAGATAGGAGATATCTATCTCTCTCTCCTGAATTCCATGAACAGGACTGCCATCCTGCTCCTCTTCAGGGAGCAGATTTCACAGAGAATAGAAAGCTAATCATACCTTAGGAATAGAGACACTGAAATCCTGGCCGAGGGACTCATTAAAGGTTAAAAGTCACATCGGAAAACTCAGTTATAGATTTAAAAATATTTAAATGACTATATCTTCTTAGAAAGTTTCTTAAGAATTTGAGAGGTTTTATGTGCTGCCTTAAGTACCAATAAAATCTGGAATAAACAGGTTTCTTCCCAAACAGCTTTTTTTGTTTACAATAAACATCAGTATTTGATCTGAGAATGTTTTGGCTAGGTCTCCTTTAAGTACTTTTAAACAATATTCAGTGGTATGGATACTGAGACAAAACATAACAAAATCTAAAAGAAGAGCAGTAAACTCAATATTCTTTTCCAAGTTATTGCTTCTTGAGTTTCTTCATAAAACACAAATTTTCAACATCATCACTGAAGCCCGCTTTACAAAGGGCAAGTGGATGGGAGTAACCAAATATGATCTCTAACTTATTTCTGTTCCACCTCTGAATATTTCTGCTGATAATCTTTTTTCCTTCTAGTTTTAAAATACTGATAGTAATCTAATAAAATGGTACCTTAATTTCTATCTTTTTTTGAATAATTTACAGTTCTTCATAGAAATTTTAGAAAGCCACAAATCATTCACACATACACAAATTTAAAATATTGTCATTAGTATTTCCTATCTTTCATTCTTTCATAAAGAAAAGGTAATGTCTTTAAAAATAGTAAGTCAAGACTTAATATCCCAATATTCTCTTCTATAACAAAGTTCAACTTTTCAAGTTCATTTTAGCAAGCCTTTCTTCATGTTTTTGCAAAACATTCACCATAATCCCCATATTATCCATCTGCATTTATACTTTGATAAGGTCAATGCTGAGCAGCTCTTCGAGAAGGTCTAAATCGACAAGTTAGGTTGCTAAGGCAGCAATAACTTGACAAACGAACCTGTTTTAAGGAACATATACAATTTTAATTGATGACATTCCCAGATTCTCACAAAGAATATCACCTGTCTATCTATTGTTTTCTTTAGTCCTTGAATTTTCTTCATTTAAGTTTGGGGAGGTAGAGAATAATGAGGAGAAAGATAATCTCATACAACCATTCATCAGTAAAGACAGACAGAGTAAACATATTTGAAGTGGGGGATGGTATTCAACATCCTGACAGAAAATTCAAATCAGATCGTCTTTATATCACAATTTGAAAAATCGATTTCTAGAAGTAGGTTAGGACAAGGGGAAACTATAAAATAATTTTTTATAGAGACAGTAAAACTCTTCTACATTCTCTTAATATTTTACCATCTTTTAGTCTTGTATTGTTTAAACTTCCAGGGAGTTTGAAGTCTCCGAAAGCAAGGCCAAATACTGTGCATTGACATTGCCCCTTCAGAAGTGTCCTTCGCTTGTCCTACCATTATAGTAGTGTCATTGCAGAACGGCAAAGTCTGACATTGGCTATTTTTTCTGGAGAGCCAAATAATCAACCTCAGTAAATGGTGTTGATGTAACCAGCCTTCCTTGTACTTCTCGCCTTTCCTTCCCAACCTGCATTATAAATTAAATTGATTTCATCTTCAGTCTCGCCTTTCTAAGCTGATTTTTCACAGATTAATTCTAGACACAACAGAGTGGTAGTTGAGACCTTGAAATAAAACTTGAAAGTGGTGAGCAAAATGTACAGGAATTCCAGATTTTGCATTTCTCTTTACCTTTTATTTTTGTCTAAAAAAGAAGGAACTTTCTAACTGCCTTCTTCTAATGCTGGCATTGAGCAAGTCTTTAAATTCCTCTGAAAACATGAAATTACAACTTCTAGTATAACTCATATCACCATTTCTTAAATCGCATTCTCTTTGACACATTTATTATTTTATGGTTGCATTGCTAGATATCTCCATTACTGCACTAATTATCTCAAGTCTAGCAGAACTTTTTAATCTAAAGAAAGGTGTGCTTGCTGTCTCACAGATGATTTCATGGAGGCCAGAACAAGGAATTGTATTTGCTGGAAGTATGCTAGTTAGTCATTTATTTAGCTTAAAGGATGATGTAGCTTTAGAAATAAAAGCAATTCCTGCACTCATTTCTCAGCATTCACTGGTGCCAGAAAATAGGTGGGAAACTTGGCTGTTAGGATAGCTGGTATTTTCCTGGACAATTTCCAAAATTTGGATGAGTTGTTATTAAAAGCAAAGTCTGTCTGGTTTACATAGACATAAAAGTTGTGGTTATACATCTAGCACAAGAATTCTCAATAATTCTTGATATTTCTGAATATTTTGGCTAGTTTTCCAAATTAGCCCTCTTAGGGGCTAAATGAACTAACCTTAGTTTTTCTTAAGATTTCGTCTAATATACATAATTAAAATAAATAGATGTCTAAACATGAATGAAGAACAAAGATTAAATTCATGAAAGTTGGTAATATTACTTAGATAAAATTAACTTTCTGTAAGTTATACCTTTTTTCCCTGTTCTATGTACCTTCAGTAACTATTTTCAAATAATATTAATGTACTAATTCCAAAGCACAATGCTGGACATTGGAAAGACCAGAAAGACATAAAAAGTACAATGCCTGGCTGCAAGTCTCTTACATTCTGTTGAAGGATAACATAGTTGATCAAAAAGTGGTATAAAATGCAATAAATGCCATCTGCACAGTGAAAGCAAATACTATTATTCAAAAGAGGGCACAATTCCTTTCACTTAGGAGAGCAAGAGTGATCAATATTTTGTAATTGACTCTTAAGTAATATAAAGACTTTAATAGACAAAAGCCTCAGTGGGTAGCATTTCAGGTGAAGAAAGGAGTATTAAAAAAAGGTAAACCAAACAAAAACAAAACAAAACAAAACCAGGAGAGGATACACATAAATTAATGTGTAGTTTAGCTCAAAATCCAAAGCCTAACATAGGACATTGTTCAGGTACGCTATTGCTGTGTAATCTGTAGCATATCACCTGAAAACTCAATGGCTCAAAACAGCAGTGATGTTATTGTCTATAATGGTTTCTGTAGGTCAAAAATTGGAGGCAGGCTTGGCTAGACAGAACAGGCTCAGAGTCTCTGCTGAGGTTTCAGTCAGAGAGAGGCTGGAGCTGGAAAGTGGGGGCTGCAGCAGCTGAGGGCTGGCAGGGCATCTGTCTCCCTTCACCTAGTGTCTGGTCCTATCCATGTGGTCACTCCGTATGGGCTAGTTTGGGCTTCTTCACAGTATGGTGGTCCCTGGGTGGCCAAATTGCTTATGATGTGACTGAAGGCTCCTAGAGCAACTCTAGGGCACTGTGTGAAAGTTGCATCATCTTTTGTGACTTAGTCTGAGTCCTGCAGAATCCCCGCAGTGTTACTTATGCAACATCCCATCGTTTACCAGCAGGTCACAAATCTGCCTCGACTCAAAGGGAAAGGAATTAGATTATCTTTCATTGGTGAGGCAGTGGCAAGGTACTATAAGGGTATGTGAGGCAGAAAATAGTGTTTCTGTCTTTGGAAAATGTAATCGGCTACAAACAATTTGTAACCTGGTCCCAGCTAACATTTTCCAGGTTGAATTCTATTTCTTCATGTACAACCATGTATCTCCTGCCACGGAGAACTATTTGAGATTCCAAAATATTGAGATGCTTTTGCATATCCCCTTGCCATTGAGATTATTGTTACTATTGTTACTCTGCATGAACTGTCCTTTTTTTTATGTCTCCCCACCAAAATCCTATTCAGCTTCAGCAAACACCTGTTCTAGATACAGCCTTCTCTGGCTCCTTCATAAAGCCAGTGTATTCCTGTGGTTCAGAGGATTTTTTATTTTTTATTTTTTTTACTTTTTGGATTCATTGGGATAAGAGATATATAATATAAAATTTACTATGTTCAACATTTTCCAACTGTACAGTTCAGTGGCATTAAGTATATTCACGTTGTTGTACAGCCATTAACCATTGTTCATCTCCAGAAAATGTTTATCACCCCAAACAAAAACTCTGTACCTATTAAAAAAATAGCTCCCCATTACTCCTCCCTCCAAATCCTGGTAAATACTATTCTACTTTACGTCTCTATGAATTTGACCATTTTAAGTAGTTCAGATAGGTGGAATCATACAATACTTGTCCTTTTGTTACTGGCTTAGCATAATATCACCTACCCTAATATTTTCCAGGAGGCATCCATGTTAGAGCATGTGTCAGAATTTCATTATTTTAAGGCTGAATAATATTTTATTGGATGTATATGTGACATTTTATTTATGCATTTGTCATTGATGACCATTTGGATTGTTTACTCCTTTTCTAAATCTTACCCATTCTCTCTAACTGTATTTTTTGTATCCATTAACCATTCCTACTTTATCCCCATCTCCCCACTACCCTTCCCAGCTTCTGATAACTTTCCTCCCACTCTCCATCATCATGAGTTTAGTAATTTTACATTTCTAACTCCCACATATGAATGAGAACACGCTTAATTGGTCTTTCTGTGCCTGACGTATTTCACTCAGTATAATGTCCTCCAATTCCATCCACGTGATTGCAAATGACAGGATCTCATTATTTCTTATGGCTGAATAATATTCAATAGTGTAAGTTTACCATATTTGCTTTATCCATACATCTGTTGATGGACACAGGTTGATTCCATATCTTGGCTATTGTAAATAATGCTGCAATAAACATGGGAGTGCAGATCCCTCTTTGATATACTGATTTTCTTTCTTTCGGTTATACATACACAGCAGTGAGATTGCTGGATTATGTGGTAGTTCTATTTGTAGTTTTTTGAGGAACCTTCATATCGTTCTCACAAGTGGCTGTACTAATTTACATTTATACTAACAGCATATGAGAGTTCCCCTTCCTCCTCATCCTTGCCAGCATTTGTTCTTGCCTGACATTTGGATAAAAGCTATTTTAACTGGAGTGAGACAATACCTCATAGTTTTTATTTGCATTTATCTGATGATTAGTGATATTGAGCTTATTTTTATATAACTGTTGGCCATCTCCTCTTTTGAGAAATGGCTAATCAGATCTTTTTCTCATTTCTAAATTGGATTATTTGATTTTTCTATTAAGTTATTTGAGTTCTTTATATACTCTGGTTATTAATCCCTTGTCAGATAGATAGTTTGCAAGTATTTTTCACCCATTCTGTGGGTTTTCTGTTCACTTTGTTGATTATTTCCTTTGCCGTGCAGAAGCTGTTTATGATGTAATCCTTGATATGGTTCTTGATTCTTGAGGTGATCCTATTTGTCCGTTTTTACCTTGGTTGTCTATACTTTTGAGGTATTACTCAAGAAATCTTTGCCTAAACCAATGTCTTGGAGTGTTTCCTCAATGTTTACTTCTAATAAAATTGTAGTGTCATGTGTTAGATTTAAGTATTTTAATCTATTTTTATTTGATTTTTTTACACAGGGCAAGAAATAGGCATCTAGTTTCATTCTTCTGTATACAGATATCTGGTTTTCCCAGGACCAATTATTGAAGAGACTGCCCTTTCCCCAGTGTATGCTCTTGGCACCTTTGTCAAAAGTGAACTCACTATAGTTTCAGGTCTTAGATTTAAGTCCTTAATCCATCTTGAGTTGATTTTTGTATAAGGTGAGAGATGAGGATCCAGTTCCTTTCTCCTGCATGTGGCTAGCCAATTATCCCAGCATCATTTGTTGAAAAGGGTGTCTTTTCCCCACTTTATGTTTTTGTTTGTTTTGTCAAAGATCAGTTGGCTGTAAGTATTTGGGCTTATTTCTGGGTGCTCTATTCTGTTCCATTGGTCTATATGCCTATATTTATACCAGTACCATGGTGTTTTGGTGACTATGGCCTTATAGTACAGTTTGAAATCAGGTAATATGATGCCTCCAGATTTGCTCTTCTTGCTTATTCTTCCTTTGGTTATATGGGTTCCTTTTTGGTTCCACATGAATTTTAGAATTGTTTTTTCTGATTCTGTGAAGAATGATGGTGGTATTTTGATGGGAATTGCATTGAGTTTGTAGATTGTTTTTGGCAGTATGGTCATTTTCACAATATTTATTCTACCCATCCATGAGCATGGGATGTGTTTCCATTTCTTTGTGTCATCCATGATTTCTTTTAGCAGTGTTTTGTAGTTTTCCTTGTAGAGTTATTTTACCTCCTTAGCTAGGTATATTCTTAAGTATTTTATTTTATTTTATTTTTTTGCAACTATGGTAAAAGGGGTCGAGTTATTGATTTGATTCTCAGCTTGGTCACTGTTGGTGTATAGAAGAACTACTAATTTGTGTACAATGATTTTGTATCCAGAAACTTTGCTGAATTCTTTCATCAGTTCTAGGAGCTTTCTGGAGTCGTCTTTAGGGTTTTTCGGTAAATGGTTATATCATCAGAAAACAGCGACAGTTTGTCTTCCTCTTTACCGATTTAGAAGCCCTTTATTTCTTTCTGTTGCCTGATTGCTCTGGCTAGGACTTCCAGTACTATATTGAAGAGTGGTGAGAGTGGGCATCCTTGTCTTGTTCCAGTTTTCAGAGGAAATGCTTTCAACTTTTCCCCATTCAGTATGATGTCGGCTGTGGGTTTGTCATAGATGGCTTTTATTATATTGAGGTATGTCCCTTTGTATGCTTATTTTGCTGAGAGTTTTAATCATAAAGGGATGCTGGATTTTGTCAAATGTTTTTTCTGCATCTATTGAGATGATCACATGATTTTTGTTTTTGATTCTGTTTATGTGGTGTATTACATTTATTGACTGGCGTATGTTAAACCATCCCTGCATCCCTGGTGTGAAACCCACCTGATTATGGTGGATTATCTTTTTGATATGTTGTTGGATTCAGTTAGCTAGTATTTTGTTAAGAACCTAGAACATAATAGAAGTTCAATAAAGATATATTGAATACTATATAGTAAACAACTGAGAGAATGTTCATAGCATATGACCTGTTTGTGGCCTTCAATCCCTTTTTGTGAAAGGCTTTCTCAATTATTTGATCTGAATTTGAAATCTTCATTCTATAAATAGATCAGAATGTACTAGATGCTGCAACAAATACAGCTGAAAGAAGGCCTGATTTCCAAGACTTCATATTTTAAAATTGAGGTTTAATTCTTCAATAAAGTTTGAGAAAAAAAGATTCACAGAAAACAAGTATAGATTTATTTCATGTTTAAAATACTGCGGCTTTCTAGAAATTGGGTTATGATTAAATTCTTAAGCTATACAAATATAGTTTATCTTTTTCCTATAAATATATGTATTACAGTAAGTTGTGCTATGTTTAACTTGATCATTTATCAACTCTTTAGGCTGTAAGAAGTATCATCAAGCATAGGAGCTTTGAATTTAGAAGTTATATCATAATTGAGTTCCAATATTAATGGATATGCTCTAAGTAAAAGTAAAAAGGAAAATATTAGATTCTAAGAAAGTGAGGGGAAGTTATCTTGGTGGCTACCGGATAATCAACATAATAGACTGGGACACCAATTAACAACAACAACTGCAAAATGTCACTTTGTAGTTCAGAACTAAAAACTTCAGGATTTTATTCATATATAAAATCTATGTGTAGTGGGGAAAAAAGGAAACATATGCTTTTTATTGAATTTGCTGAACAGGAAAAAGAAAAGATTTTCAAGTAAGATTTCCTGATAATAAGTTTATTTTCTTTGGGTTTCTGAGATATGTTGATTAAAATATTCTGGCAATATATTATATAGAAAATATAAAAATTAAGAGATGGTGGCCCCTAAAACCTTTCTGATACTCACTTACATTAGTTTGCAAAGTGTTACTATGCATTTTTTGTTTGTTTCCACACTACAGCCAGACCCTAGAAGACTGCCTGACAAATCAAAAACATTTAATCAACAAATACCAATAAAGTGACTATTGGTTGAATGAGTAAGCCTAAAATTTGGCTTTTAAAATAGACATTTTATTATTTACAGTAGTAAAAAACCAAAACTACATAAATGCCTAACAATGTAAAGTGGCCAGATAAATTAGGGTACATGTACAAGGTAAAATATTTTAGTCATTAAAATTATGCTCTTGAAAAAAATTCAATAATGTCCAAAGTTGCCCAAAAGGTAATATGAACTGAAAAAATACAGATACATACATTTGAATGGTTTTAGCTTTCTTTTACACACACACATACACACACACACACACACACGAATACTTTAAACATATGTGGATATATGTACAATATATATATATGTCTATACACATATTTTCCACATATGATGTGGTTCGGATGTTTGTCCCTTCCAAATCTCATGCTTAAATGTTATCCCCAGTGTTGGAGGTGTGACTTAATGAGAGGTATCGTATTGTGGGGGCAGAACCCTCATGAATGGCTTAGCATTCATCGTCCCCTTGATGATGAGTTCTCACTCAGTTAGTTCATGTGAGAACTGATCATTTAAAAGTGTCTGGGACCTCCCCCTTCTCTCTTTTTCTCCCTCTCGCCATGTGATGTTCTTGTTCCCTTTTCACCTGGCACCATGATTATAGGTTTCCTGAGGCCCTCACCAGAAGCTGAACAGATGTTGGTGCCACACTTGTATAGCCTGCAGAACTATAAGCCAAAATAAACCTCTTTTCTTTATAAATTACCCAGCCTCAGGTAATCTTTTATAGTAATACAAATGGACTTAAAAAGTATATATCTGGTCATGTTTTATCTGTACCGTTAAAAAATTAAAGTTCTATGTTTTATAATACCATGTCACATAACCATTTCTGAGATTTAAGAGCAATACATTGTTATCATTATTTTACTTGCCAATAAGAAGAAGAAAAAGGAATGTGTTTATACCAAAACAACTGTATATCCTTGATGTGGTTTGGCTGTGTCCCCCTCAAATCTTATCTTTAAATTGTAGCTCCCATAATTCCCAAGTGCTGTGGGAGGGACCCAGTGGGAGATAATTGAATCATGGGGTTGGTTTCCCCCATACTCTTTTCATGGTAGTGAATAAGTCCCACAAGGTCTGATGATTTTATAAGGGGTTTCCCCTTTTGTTTGCCCCCCTCATTTTCCCTTTGCCTGCCACCATGTAATATGTGCCATTCACTTTCCTCCATGATTGTGAGGTCTGCCCAGCCATGTGGAACTGTGAGTTCGTGAAGTCTCTTTCCTTTATAAATTACCCAGTCTCAAGTATGTCTTTATCAGCAGTGTGAAAACAGATTAATTCAATCCTGTAAGCAAGATATCTGTGAAAAAGTAACTTTCAATGAAACTCTCAAAATTAACTTTGTGGGGCTAAAATTGCAGGTAGAATTCTTTCTTTTAATCACTTGAATAAAAAAAAACCTTAAGGACCTTAAAAAGTTACCACTTTATGAGAAAAGGAGAATTAGATGTATCAAAAATAAAATTTGAAATTTAAAACTCAGCCCACTTTACCTGATTTCAAGCAGACTATCAGCATAAATTAGATTTGAATTACTACAAACACAAAGTTTTACAATGAAAGCTACAACATTCCTTATTATAAGAGAGTTTTATTTGGGGCTCAAATCTTTTAAATATTTTGTGTGTGGGATTCTCATCTAGACTGCTCATGAACGTAAAGAATTATAAATCTTGTTTTCTTGTAACAGTAATGAATGAAGCAACTTAGCATAAGTTGTGTACTGGAGCAATGTAACAAAAATGAATATGAGATAACCTAATATTTTATAACATAACGAAACTGATGGGGGCTAAAGAAATCCTGTGACAAGCTGTATCCATAAGCAGTAACAGAGCAAATGCAAATAAAATGGCAATATAGTTTTATTGGACTGTAAACCACTAATATGGTGATGTAAAAAAAAAATGGCACTTCTGTGTGTGATTGTGTAGTGGATTATTATACATGGATTGACTTTTGCCACAGAAAACAATTATGCATCCTAGGATCCTAGATAAGAATGTATGTTATATGTACTTATAAAAATAAATATAATTAAATTAAATTTTTAATTAAAGATGTGAATAATGAAAAAATGTCACTACTATTTATAGATACCTTTGAAAAGTTCTCATAAAAATAGTAATAAGCCAAGCGTGGTGGCTCACACCTGTAATCCCAACACTTTGGGAATCTGAGGCGGGTGGATCACCTGAGGTCAGGAGTTTGAGATCAGCCTGGCCAACATAGTGAAATATCATCTCTACTAAAAAATATATATAAAAATTAGCCAGTCATGGTAACATGCCTGTAGTCCCAGCTACTCTGGAGGCTGAGGCAGGAGAATTGCTGGAATCCAGAGGCAGAGGTTTCAGTGAGCCAAGATCATGTCACTGCACTCTAGTCTGGGAGACAGAGCAAGACTCTGTCTCAAAAAAAAAACAAAACAAAAACAACAACTAATAGTAAATTTAAGAGTCAGTAGAGGGTTCTACATTTATTGCTTAAAAATAATATAATTATGGAACTATTCTCATTGTCTACTACTAAAGTTTCCCATAATGCCATAATAATTTCTTTGTTCTGCTCATTCATTATTACAAAGCTTTTTTTTAACCAAGTTTTGAATAAGTAACACTTTTAAAGGAAGATGAAAATTTACGTGATAATTATATTCTCTGTATATAGAATTTTCTGTGTATACCTCTGCTCAAAGTAAAGGTATAAAAAATTGAGGTTTATCAGAATATTTTGATGTATAAGATTATGAAGCTATTTGGGTGTTTATCATCATAATTTTTTATAAATACATTAAACATCCCCAAATAACTATTTTGGTATAGTTTCACATATACATCTTGGATTATTAGACTGTATGCCAAAATTTAAATCATTCTATAGAAAAAGTCACATATTGATTTTTAAAGGGTAATGCACAACAACGACTCAATCCGCTGTTCTGACAACAGCAAAGGAAATCAATACCAGCCAAGGTAAAAAGTTCAGGAAAAATTTAAAAAGAACGACACTGCTAAGCTAGTCGTCATTCGTTAAGTTTTACAATTTTTATGCAAAAAGAAAGAAGGGGAAAGAGCCAGGGATGTTGATGAATCAGCCTCAAAGCTTTTCACAGTATCACCACCAACAATACTGAAATATGTCAAAGCCTGTGTGAAAAATGAAAACCAGTGACAGTGAAAGCATTCAGCTTGAAAGATATATTACCTCTTTCCCATGTCACACTTCAGAAACAATACAAAACACGATTACCAGTCCCAGCGGAAGGAAGGACTCTTTACAAGTGATATTACCATTTCAAAATATCTTTGTATAAAGGCAGAGCAAAATGAAGACTCTGAAACATCAGGACTTCTGAGACAGAGTTGGAATTTCTATAAAAGAAATATATTCCTGGATAGAATAAAGATGGCAGATGGGAGTGGAAAGGAGTCAGTTTGTATATCACTGGTTCATGCTTAGTTGGGAATCAGTAAGAGGAATAAAAATTTGTAACTATAAAGGCTGTACATATATTATTAGCATGAGTAGTGTGGATTTGATAGAGCATAAAATTTAAATCAAATGTTTGTATGCCACTGTCAGAGGTGCCAGTGCCCCCAAAGGAAGTCCCCATTCAGAGCTTAAAGTGTGAAATGTCTGCAAATCAGTTGAAAATTAACATGCAATCTAGTTGGTGATGAGATTCCATTTCTCGTCTGTGCTGGCCATTTTATGAAACCTCTAGGAGTCTAAACAGGAAAGAAGAATAATACATTTCAAGTGCTGTGTTCCTTTCCTTTTTTTCTTCAGGCACTATGCAGTATGAACTCATTTCTCTAAAGGTGAGGACTTTCCTAAGAACTAAGGGAAAAAGTTCAACTTTTTAAATGAACTATCTCAGTCTGTGCAAGCTGCCATAACAAAACAATACAGCCCGGGTGGCCTAAACACCAGATATTTACTTTCTTAGAGTTTGAGATGCTGGGGAGTCCAGGATCAAGGTCCTGCATAGTTAGTTTCTAGTGAAGGCTCTTTTCCTGGCTTTAAGAGAGCTGCTTTCTCTCACTGTTCTCTCTTGGTGAAGAGAGAGAAAGCTCTTTGGTCTCTTTTTATAAGTACACTAATGTTGTTAGATCAGGGCCCCATCCTTATATGACCTCTTTTAACTTTATTTTCTCCTAAAGACTCTATCTCCAAATAACAGTCACATTTGGGGTTAGGACTTCAACACCTGGACCTGGGGTGAGGGGGGACAAAATTCAGTCAGTAGCATGAACTATGACAAAATGTTACATAATCTAAACTAATAAAGCTAAGATGGGGGGATCATAACTTCAAAATTACTTAAACTAATTTTAGGGTTTTAAAAACAATTTTACTCTAATGGTTTAGTTCCCTACAAGACATTAAAAATGGTCATGGTAGTTTTTCCCAGTTTGCCTAATCACTAATGTGAGAATCATTCAGGTGTGCCTGCATGCGAATGCATATGTTTTAACTTACATTTAAACAACTATTAGTGCTTAAGAAATACAATCTATTTTTATGTATTGTCACATGTTCAAAAATTGTATTTAGGGTATTTGTTGAAGAAAGAAAACCTGTGATACATTTCAGAACTAAGATACCAGAGTTAGCTTTGCTGAATATCCTCAACCATCTACTTTGAGCCAAGATGCCCGACCAATGTCCATGCTCACAATATATTCTTTTATTCATCCTAATACAACTAAAACAGATTATATCTATCGAGACATAGTAAATAAACTTGAAATAAGTAACTGACTAAATGAACATTAAATTAACACAACAGAGTGTGCAGCTAAGGTTGTATGAATTCTTCCTCCCTAAATTCAAAGCTCATGGCTTAGTGAGGGTGCCACATTTAAAAAATTATTACTTTAAGAAAATTTATGATACATAGATAAATGTCTACATCTGTATCTGTACCTCTTGTGTACCTGATCTTTCTCCCAATTTCCCTGTTTCAACAGAAAAGATAACATTCATACAGCTAACTTCATCATTTGCTGAGTAATATTTCTATTAACCCACTTGGCCTAGGTTATGAGGAAGTAGATATGATCTAATATAAATCCTATTTTGTCCTCTTTCACTCCAGTCTCAGGCAGGTTTTGACACAGAAGCACTTCCAAACATTTAGCGTTTCAGTGAAACACTTTTGGAGGTGCTGGTGCCACGTGGATGTCAGGAGAGGAACGACTATTGTCTGTACATTCGTCCTCAATAGATGTGCTTTTTGACAGAAAGCATGGAAGGCTTTTGATGGAGGGAATTAGTCATAGTCTGGTGTTTCATTAATTCCTTTACACAAGTTTGTTTATAGTCTGTAAATTCAGCCATTAGTCTTCTATCTATCAGCGGTTATATTTGTAATTAAGCACAGCTTTACAAGTTTCTTTTAAAACTCTTTGGTTATACCTGCTAAAGCTAAATATGTACCTACCCTACGATTCAGAAGACAAGTTCTAGCATGTACCTAGCAACATAATGCTAGTTAGGCCCAAACTGATAGTTTCCAAAATGCTCTTTATTTTTGCCCATCAGCAAAAAATAGAATGGATAATTACACTGTGCCATATTCAGAGAACTGCATACTATACAGCAATGGGAATGAATGAACCCAAATACATAAAAAAAATGATGAATCTCAAAGGAATGACATTGAGCAGGAAAAAAAAACTGAGCTAAGACTTCAGACTATGATTTCATTCGTGAGATGTTCAAAAATTAACCAAACAATTTACAGTTTTAGAAGCCAGAAGAGTGGTTACCTTTGATATGGGATTGTTGAAAAGAAGGGAAATGAGGGAAGCTTCTGGGTGTTGATACTTTTTCATCTTGGTGCTAGTTAAACAATTGCCTTCAGCTGGTGAAAATGCAATGCACTGCAGACATAATTTGTGTGTTTTTCTATATAATATAGTTCAATAAAAAGTAAATATGAAACAAACAAATACACAATACTCTCAAAGACAATTGTGTGGGGGTGGTTAAGGCAGCTTGAAATGTTATAAACTCCATTTAAAGTGTATACACAGTCAAGTTTTTAAGCCTTTGATTTATATTTCTTATAGATTTAATGATTAAAAATCTCAAATTTTCACATCCAGTCGTTGGGATGTCTTGTACAGATTTAGCTTTATGTAACTATCTCCCTTGGTAATTTTATGCAACTATCTCACTGGATAATTATATCAGCTAATCCTTTTTCTCTCCAAGAATACTATGGTAATATTCTCCATGAAATTACTGATTTTCTTCTCTTCATGATTTCTGCCTTATATTTATTCACCCTCTGACTCCTATTTCTTTCATTTCTGTATTAGTTCATTCTCACACTGCTATTAGGATATACCTGAGACTGAGTAATTTATAAAGGAAAGAGGTTTAATTGACTCACACTTCAGCATGATTGTGGAGGCCTCAGGAAACTTACAATCATAATGGAAGGGGAAGAAAACCTGTCCTACTTCATATGGCAGCAGTAATGAGAAGAATGAGTGCCCAGCAAAGGGGGAAGCCCTTTATAAAACCATCATCTCTCCTGAGAACTGACTCACTATCAGAAGAACAGGATGGGGAAAACTGCCCCCATGATTCACTTATCTCCACTTGTCCTTCCCATGACACATGGGGATTATGGGAACTATAATTAAATATGAGATTTGGGGGGTGGACACAGCCAAGCCACATCAATCCACCCCTGTCCCCTCCAAAATCCCATGTCCTCACAATGTAAAGCACAATCATGCCCTTCCAACAGTGTCCTAAAGTCTTAACTCATTCCAGCATTAACACAAAGGTCCAAGTCTAAAGTCTCATATGAGACAAGACAGGTCCCTTCCACCTATGAGTCTGTGAAATCAAAAGCAAGTTGTTACTTCCTAGTACAAGGGGGGAGCAGGCATTGGGTAAATACACCCAATCCAAATGGGAGAAATTGGCCAAAGCAATGGGGCTACAGGTCCCATACAAGTCCGAAATCTAACAAGGCAGAAATTAAATCTTAAAGCTTTGAAATAATCTGCTTTGACCCCATGTCTCATACCCAGGTCATGCTGATGCAAGAGGTAGTCTCCCACAGTGTTTGGCAGCTCCACCCCTGTGGCTTTGCAGGGCACAGCACCTCTCTGGCTGCCTTCACTGGCTGGCATTGAGTGTCTGCAGCTTTTCCAGGTGCATGGTGCAAGCTGTCAGTGGATCTCCCATTCTTGGGTCTGGAGGATGGTGGCCCTTTTCTCATAGCTCCATTAGGCAGTGCCCCAGTGGGGACTCTGTGTGTGGTGGGGGGACTCCAACCCCAAATTTCCCTTATACATTGCCCTAGCGGAGGTTCTCCATGAGCATCCTGCCCCTGAAGCAAACTTCTGCCTGGGCATCCAGGCATTTTCATACATCTTCTGAAATCTAGACAAAGGTTCCCAAACCCCAATTCTTAACTTCTATGCACTCGCAGGTTCAACACCATGTGGAAGCTGCCAAGGCTTGGGGCTTGCACCCTCTGAAGCCATGACCCAAGCTGCACCTTGGCCCTTTTTAGCCATGGCTGGAGCTGAAACAACTGGGACACAGGGCACCATTTCTGGAGCCTGCATATAGCAGAGGGCACTGGGCATTGCCCATCAAACCATTTTTCCCTCCTAGGCCTACAGGCCTGTGATAGGAGGGGCTGCCATGAAGGTCTCTGGCATGCTCTGGAGATATTTTCCCCATTGTCTTGGTGACTAACATTTTGCTCTTCATTACTTATGCAAATTTCTGCAGCCAGTTTGAGTTTCTCCCCAGAAAATGGGGTCTTTTCTATTACATAGTCAGACTGCAAATTTTCCAAACTTCTATGCTCTGTTTCCTCTTGAACACTTTGTCACTTAGAAATTTCTTCTGCCAGATACCCTAGATCATCTCTCTCAAGTTCAAAGTTCCACAAATGTCTAGGGTAGGGGCAAAATGCTGCCAGTCTCTTTGCATAGCGAGAGTGACCTTTACTCCAGTTCCCAACAAGCTCCTTATCTCCATCTAGACTGCCTCAGCCTGGACTTTATTGTCCATATCACTATGAGCATTTTGGTTAAAGTCATTCAAAAAGTTTCTAGGAAGTTCCAGCCTTTCCCAGATATTCCTATCTTCTGAGGCCTCCAAGTCTCTGGGAAGTTCCAAACTTTCCCACATTTTCCTGTCTTCCTCTGAGACCTCCAAAAGATTCCCACCTCTGCATGTTACCCAGTTCCAAAGTCACTTCCACATTTTGGGGTATCTTTACAGCAGCACCCTACTCTACCAGTACGAATTTCTTGTATTAGTCTGTTCTCACGCTGCTAATAAAGACATACCTGAGACTGGGTGATTTATAAGGGGAAGAGGTTTAATTGACTCACAGTTCAGCATGGTTGGGGAGGCCTCCAGAAACTTACAATCATAGTGGAAGGGGAAGCAAACACATCCTTCTTCACATGGTGGCAGCAAGGAGAAGAATGAATGCCCAGCAGAGGGGAAAGCCCATTATAAAAACTATCAGATCTCATGACAACTTACTCACTATCACGAGAACAGGATGGAGGAAACCGCCCCCATGATTCAGTTACCTTCACCTGGTCCCTCCCATGACACATGGGGATTATGGGAACTACAATTCAAGATGAGATTTGGATGGGGAAATAGCCAAACCATATAAATTTTCATTTCAGAGTACTAGACATTTATTTCCTTGGTTTTGGCTTCTTTGAAAACTACTTTAAGATATATTTGCTGTGGCTGAATATCTGTCTCTCCCTAAATTTCTATGTTGAAGCCTAATCCCCAGTGTGATGATATTTAGAGGAGGGGACTTTGGGAAGTAACCAGGTCATGAAAGCAGAACCTTGTGAATGGGATTAGTGTCCTTATAAGAAGAGACACATGAGAGCTTGCTTTCTTTCCCTCTTCCTCTCCTCTCACACTCCTCTGTGTGAGGATACAAGAAGGTGTCCATCTGCAAACCACATAGAGCTTCCTCACTAGGAATCCAATCAGCCAGGACATTGATCTTGGACTTCCCACCCTTCAGAACTGTAAGAAATAAATTTCTGTTGTTTAAGCCATCCAGTCTATGGTACTTTTGTTTAGTCACCTAAACTAATTATGACAGTATTCTTAGATCACATACATAGCATATAGTTCACATTTGAAAATCCTAAGAAGAGACCAAAATTAGTGATCACCACTGCTCACCCATTTGCACAACATAGAAAAGACATGATCTTCATCCATTAACTTTATTAATCAAATTCATATTTCTGACCCTCAACACAATTAATAAACATTCTAAATATGAAGGTGACATAAACACTTCCTAAATTAAATCAGTGCATTCATTGTGCTGGACTTCTATTAACTTCAACAGGAATAGCACTTTGTTTAAGAGGCTGAATAAGAGACCCAAAGCCAGGGAATGAGATACAGGGTTTTACTGTGGGGGATGAAAAATATATACCCCCTCCTGGGTAGTCTATCTACAGAGGTCTGTGGCCCCCAGGACATGAAAGATTTTGAGGTTGTGTATGTATACCTGGGGCAAAATGACAAAGAGAAAATAAACACAATGTTTGATAGAAGAATAGGGTGGCTATCCTGAGCAACAAAGGTTGTATATTTCAAAGTGACCAGTGTCATGCTACATTTGTCAGCAGGTCGCTCTGAGTGTACCCTTAGCTGTCTCCTTTCCTTTGGCTCACTTGTCTTTCATCCCAGCCGCATGCACCCTTTGCTCACATGGTTTCTCCATTTCCCCTAAGTCAGCGACAACTTGGGTCACCAAGACCTGGCTGTCCTACCAGGGGGCTCAGGATAGACATTAGCATGCCATATCATTGGTTGGGTGCCTACTATAAGATGTTATCTTTCACACTGGCAGTGAAAAGCTCATTATGAGACCTCAGTAATGCTCAGCATAGATAGCATGCTTCATCCCTAATTCCTGGAGGATGTCCTGCAATTCCACAATAGGCTGCCATTACACAAGAGACTTGGGGACATCTGCCTTATTTGGTCAGGCTGCCATGCAGCCCCCAACCACCCATATAAGGGAGAGTGTGAACATATTCTCATTATTGGTGCCACAGAGGCACTGCCTCAGGGCAGGGTGGTTTGTGATGGATGCCATTTAACTCCCCTTAAATTTGGAGGGTATAATATCCTCTGCCCCCATGTCCCATAGACAGAGAAGTCACCCCACAATCAACTCTTTTCCCTTCTGTAGGAACCTATTCCACAATTCCACAGTGGCACAACCCTGCATTGTGGTGTGCAGCCCTACAAGACTTGCCCCCTTTCAGATGAAAGCAAGTCTTGTAGGGCTACTCCCTATAGGTGCAGTTGGTCTGTCTTTATCTTGGCAGTAACTATGGGACAGGTGGAGAGCATGGGAACTTCTGCAGACTCATAAAGGTCCTCACTCTCCTCCCCACTAGACATCTCCATGGAGTCCCTGGACATAAGATCCAGGACAATTCAGCCATGAAAGCCCCAACTTATTGACATGGCAGCCTTCAAACAGGCTACCCAACAAGCCAGGGTCTCCTTTCCATTATCCTGGTCCCACAGGTGGGGCACCAAGGTCTCTGACATTTCAGCCTGAATTAATGTGGCATCTCTTTCTAGTCACAACTCATCCTGTAACTGATGAACTCTTGCCTATGATTGAAGCTCAGCTTCAGTGGCTGCTCAGAGTGCAGTCAGAAGTGGCCACAGCTGCCAGAACCCAGACATCTTACTTTTCCTCAGTTAGATCTGCCTTGTGCAACAACTGTTCCAGACCTTTCAGCATTTACAGGGTGTCCCACTACTCACACACTGGGCCCCATTTCATTAAAGATAGTGGCTACAGACTCCCACATAGAAGTGGATGGCCAACCCAGGATTTTCCTCTTCACCCATCCCATTGTCTTGGCACTCATGGGGATTTCCTCAACCTCATACTGGGCTTGCCAATTGTCGTACAGACCCCTATTAACTTCAGTAGGGATAGCACCATGTTCAAGAGGCCGAGGAAAAGACCTGGCACCAGCAAAGGACATATGGGTTTTTACTGGGGGACTTATATCAGGGATGGTCTAGTGCTGGACAAGAGAAACAGTTCCATTTGTAAAAAGCATACAGTTTACATAGATCACGTGTGTCTGTGTTCTCAGGGAATGCTTAAGTTATTGCTATCAGGTGCATCTCCCAAAAAGCTATAAATAGAAGGAGGTAGTGTGGTCTGTCAAACAATTCAGGAATGATTTTTTTGGCTAATATAAGCACCACATGAAAACCCTCAGAAGGTTCGATCTGGTTTCCCCAAGTCTCAATGAGTAAGGTTGAAGATGGTGAAAACTGATGCAAGTTCTAAAACATGCTATTTGAAAAACTTTAGTAAATTCTTCTATCATAGTACAGCAAAAAGCTCATGGCAGTGCTAATAGAGAGTGAAAAGGACATTTTCTGAATACATGTGGGACTATTATTCTAGGCTTCATGTACAATAGAGACTGGACCAGGTTATTAGTTTAGATCAGCACTCAAGTCAATATTATTTTCTCTTTCTTTTTCACCTCTGTATTCCTACAGCCCAGCATAATATATATTGCATATAGCAGGCAATGCAAACATCTTTTGACTACATGCGTGCATAATTTGAAGAATGAAGGGAGCAAGAGGGATGTGAGAGTAGGTCATTTGCTCTGGGCCTAATGAGCAGAACTGTGAATGGCCTATAAGAGGTAGAGACATGTGGGTGTGCATTAACAGATACTTAATAAGCAGTTTAATTACCATGCTGAGTCTGGCCTATATCACAATGCATTATTGTAAGGCTATAAATTATTTATGTGGCTTAAATATATGTATCTGCTTTCATCCTCTTTTTTTCTAAATAGTTGGTATTAACTAGCATCTTGACAAAAAATACAATTATATGTATTTCCTTAAGAAAAGGAAGAAAATATACCTAGAATGGAAAAATCAATTTGTGAGATCTATATTTTTCATGTTATAAAGTATTTTCACTTTGAGAATTACCAGGATTAATTGACCTCATTTGTTCTCCATGTGGCAGTATTCAGACCTTCCAATAGATGTATTCCCCCTTCCCCCAACAAGTGAACAATAATTTCTTAAAAAGCTCCTTTTGGAAACATTCCCAGATTTAAGTAAATACGTTGAAAATAGAACTGAGAAAATAGTGCTTTTCAAAGGGAAGATCATAAAGGTAACTTTTAGATGGAAACTAATTTTTGTTGAATTAAACAGAAATGTGTTACCAGAGGCCTGTGAAATACCAGCCCAATGGTGAGTAGTGAATGAGTACACAGCTCATGAAGACTCCAGCAGGAACTTCGAACATTACTTTAAAGATGGAGGTGGGTATAGCTCCACACAGTTCTCAAAATAAACACACTTGGGTCTATTGTATGGCCTGAGTAGCAGTGCCCTTAGTAAAAACATAGGTGAACTGGGATCCATCAACTTATAGCCACAATTGAAAGAAAACCAATTTTGTTAATGTAGGTAGGTTCCCAGAAAGATTACATGATATTATAATTAACTACTTAAGAAAGACAGGCAGGATATGAGTAAGTGTGCTAGGTTCAATTCTAAAGTTGTGACAGAAGCAATAAGCAGTCAAAATAGCAAATGACTCTGACGTTTTTGTTTTTTAATTTGAGAGTAATGGGGGTTTTTTTGCATTGCAAAAAGTCAAAGAAAAACATTAAGAGAAAGTCTATATTTGTTACAACAAACTTATTGCAATGAAACACAGGGAAAAATGGTCCAGAATGTGTCCGGGAAATTTCTTCTATGCATACTGAATGGCTGCTTCACTCTCTAGCAATTTCATGAATGTACTACACGAAGAAGACAAATGAAGCAATCTAGGTTTGAGCCACTCAGCTTCAGATTGTTACACAGTGACAAATTGAACATCCCTAAATATTTAATAACTGTAACAAAGGATGAGGGATGCATGATAGTAGGGAAACAACTGAAAGTATATGGCTATTGATGGTGAGCCTGCCATAATAGATATAGGTACACACAAATATATGAACTTAATCACTCACCCCACCTCCTTCTGTTGTGCACACCTTATGTAAGGCTTATGAAAAATTTCTAAAATGATTAAAAAAACATGATTGACTCTGCACTCAATGAGCTTGGATATAATATTATAGTAGGGCCATAGACTAGTGACTCAATATTCTGGAAATCATATATGCCTGTGAGAACCAAATGAAAATGATGAGATTCTTCCTTTAGGGGAAAGAAACCACATTTACACAGATATCCATATAATTCTACATGTAATTTTGGTGGTTCACATACCTCTAAAGCCCATTCATGGGCCCAGGAGTTCATGGATTACATGTCCCAACTCTTGCCTAGATGGTCTTCCCATACCTAATTTCCTACCATGATTCCAAATTTTATATTAGTCTGACATATGCAAGAAAGTTTTTACTATCACATTGTACTGGCTATATATTGCTTCATAAATGTTAACTACCCCAAAACTTAGCAGCTAAAACCAAATATATATACATAGTTTCAAGATTAGGTCAGGAATCTTGAAGTACCTTAGCTGAGTGGTCTGGTTCATCACCTCTCAAGAAGTTGCAGGCAAGATGTTTGCTGGCACTGCAGTCATCTTTGAATCTGACTGGGTCAGGAATACCTGCTTCTAAGCTTACTCACATGGTTGATGGCAGGAGGTATCTGTTCTCTGCCAGTTGTCGGTTGCAGTCCTCAGTTTCTCATTATATGGGCCCCTTCATCAGGCTGCTCAGACTTGGCAGCTAGCTTTTCCCAAGAGAACCAAGATGACTGAAGAGAAAGCCATAGTGTCTGGTATGACCTAGGCTCAAAAGTGAAATAATAGGTTATAATCTATTGTTTGCACATAACAACCTTGATACAACATGAAAGAGGACTTCTCAAGGGCATTAACACTAAGTAATGAGGATCACTGGGGGCCACCTTAGAATCTGGCTACCACAACATTCAAACTGAAATAATGAAAATATCATTGAACTAATGGAATTGGAGTGGTTAAGGAATGTGGTGCATAACCTAGTTTGTGAAATTAATTGTATGATACTGATCAAGTAAATCACCCTCCTATGCAGAATAGGAGGCTTTGATTAAATAAATTCTCAGGTCTCTTCCAGCTTTAATACTGTGTGGTTAGATTACTTTCCCATTGTAAGTCCAATGTATACCAATTATATGGCTATTAGGGAAGAAATCCTAAGATTCACTCAAATCCAGTGTAGAGTCAGTCAACAAATGCTGAAATGTAATAATTATTGATAATAAATCTGCTATCCACAAATATATGCTTTCACTATAAATTTTCTCACCTGGTAATTATTAGTGAACTGACAAAATGTCAGCAATGTCTTTTAAAAATTGAGTGCTTTGAATTGTTTTAGGATTTTATTAGCAAAACTTTGGTATATATTAAGACATCTCCAGCTTATAGACAACTCCTAACACAGGCCTACAAAATTTTCTCAAATCCATTTTAGGTCATCTTGGGTATGTTGTCATCAGGAAGGAGCAGTTCATGAACGACTGCCTCAAGGACTTTTGAGGAGGATTGCAAGTTGTTGAAGTGGAAAAGCCTTTTAGGGGATCAAAATATATCCTAATATCAACCCTGAGGTCTCCTGTTGCATAGTCAAGCATGGCTGCATAAAATAGATTGAATAAAACTGGAACCATTAGATATCCCTGCTTCCCAGGATTAGTGATGGATGACTCTGGCCAGATGCCATCAACACTAACTTGACCAGTCATTTCATCATGAAACTTTCAAGCTGTTGGTAAACTTCTCTGGCAAATCAACTTTATTGCAGTTGTCAGAGCAGAGATTCTCTGCTGTCAGCAAAAGTTATGGTAGATTAATAATCACAACATTGGCAGCTGAAGAGATGTAATAATCCTATTCAATGTAAGATGGTATTACTAGAACTATGTAACATATCCCTAAAAAAATCTAAAGGTGAGCCATTCTTGATTTTCCAAAATGATTAAAATGAATGACATATACTTATCATTTAATATGATTCAGCAAATATTTAACGAGGACACTTCAGGAAATAAGATGAGTAGGAGCTTTATCCTCAGGTAGCTTACAATCTCAACTTTGAAGGAAATAGAATGCAAACAATTATGAGGTTGATGAATAGTAATTGCCATAATTGGTTTTTGCAATTCTTGTAATGAAAGTCATTCCGAGGGTTTATAATTAAAAATTTGACAACTAGACAGTAAACTACCTGTCTTGTGTTTTTGTCTTTGGTATTTCCAGCTACAACATCATGCATTCTCTCCATTCTCCCTTCCTCTTTCTTTTTCTCTCTCTCTCCCTCAACCACCTCCTTTTCTCCCTCCCTCCCCCTTTCAATAAGCTCCTCTGCCTTCTGGCTTTTATTAGGATCTGGCCAATGGGGAACCACACCATGAAAACAAAGAATAAAGCAGATTGCCTTCAGGATATTTATTCTCCAGCTCCTTACCTGGCTGGATCACCCCCAGTTGACTGAGTCCCTTGACCAATGAGTCACACTATCTCTCCCTTCATCTCTTTGGGCCTAGCATGGTAAAAGCCTGAGAGTTCTGCACTATCCTTGTGGTTTCTTTATACATAGAGACTACCCCCTGTTGAAAAATGAACATTGTGTTAAACTGCTCTTGCATTATTCTAATTAGAGGGCTCTGTTTTCTGTTAGGATACAAAAAATTCAGGCACATTTCTCCCTTCTGCTATGAGAACTCCTGGCCTTTAAGTCTTCTCCTGCCCATATATTGGTTTTGTCTCTGGGTCATTTGTCTTTTCTCTTTCCCAGAGCAGATCATTTTGGAGATAAACAGAGCAAAGTAAAACAAAACAAACCAACAAAAAATTGAGCCCTACACACAAATGTCTGCCTGAGACACATCATTTGGCTCACTAGCCAGCGGTTCTTTTGTGTTTGTGCCTCTGCCTCTTTGTTTCTGCTTTAATGAGGACTAGGAGAGGGAACCAGAGGACCAGTGAGAGGGAAGAAAAAAAGGTAAATACAGAGTAAACAAAGTAAGTACTAGACATGTAATTCTGCCATAAAAATTCATATTTCACTGCTGTGGATTTCTATACTGAGAAAACTCAAAATCAAGCAAGGGGAGGAGAGAAAGAAAACAGACTATGAGGGGACAGGTAAATTCCAAGAATGCAACAGGGTAGGATTGTCCCTCTCCACACTATCCTCCCCTGTTGCATTATTAGAAATAAAAAGATTAGGGCATACTTACATTTAATAAGACAATTAACCATTGAATTTATTTTGGGAGAGAACTAAAGAATACTTACAACACCCATTTACAATAATTCATAACATTTCTATTTAAATTCCCCTTCAATAAGACCTTATTGCTTAAAGTAGAGAACATTATAATATTAAAGTGCTGAATGATAAATGTTTATAAGACAGAGAGATTTTAAATTCTATTACAGCTACACACAGACATACACACAGGAAGATAATACAATTTCATGTCAGGCTATTTACTCATTGTGCCTAAGTCATTAGTGGCTACTAGTAAAGTGAAGTATATATGCATTTCACATGGATGTTAGAATTTCACATCTGGAATGGATCTCTTGGCTGAGACTAAACTTACTCAAAACTTGTTTTTGTATATAAGTTACAGAATCATTCCTAACTAACCAGTAACCACATTACATTATGAAAACAGAAACAGGCTCTTGTGTAACTCAAAGACACAGATGGTAGTTGGGCAAACCAGTACTTTACGACAGAAAAAAGATAAATACCTCTCTTTTTATTTTTATTATTCTTATTAAAATAATTAATGCTTATTATAAAACATTCATATAGTAGAGTGTGTTGGACTAAATAGGGCCACAATTTGTTGCAACTCCTCCCGTTAAGAGATGAAGTCTATTTCCCCATTCTTTTAATCTAGCCTAGCTTTGTTACTTGCTTTGAAGAATAAAATACAGCAGAAGTGACCCTGGGTGACAACCAAGCCTGGGCTTCAAGATAGATTGTGGTTTTTTGTTTTGTTTTGTTTTGTTGTTGCCCTCTTGGAGCACTGCTGCCCTGTGAACAAACTTAGATAGAAACCATGGAGAAAGAGGCCTAGCTATCTCAAGTCATTACAGCACAGCACAGGCCCCAGACATGTGAGAGAGATTATTCAGGACTAGCTAGTCCCTAACTAACCCACCAACTTTTTTTAGACACAAGAGTGAACCTAGACATCACACAGAATAAAGATAAGCCATCCAAATTGAACCTTGCCCAAATTGCCAATTACACAACTGTAAGCAAGTAAATGGATTTTAGTTGATGTCACCAAGCCTTGGGTTGCCTTGTTATGCAGCAATAGACAGATAATATATAAAGGAAAGCATAAAACAATAGGCAAAAGTTTCCCTACCCAGATTCTCCCAACTCCATTCTCCAGAAAGTATAATGCATTATCATGGTTAACTTTTTCATCTTTGCTCATTCTTCCAGATATTTTATGTGCCTAGAGAAATAGATAGAAAGATGAATGAATAAATAAGTAGATGAAAGGAAAAAAGAAAGAAAGAGGAAGGAAGAAAGGAAAGAAGGAAGGAGGAAGGGAAGGAGGGAGGAAAGAAGAGAAGGAGAAGGAGAGGAAGGAGGAAAGGGAGGAAGGAAAAAAAGAAATCACAACTGGTATATCATATTTTTTGCAGCTTTTGCTTTAACTAAGAATATAGCATAAAGCATTTTTCATACCAATACATGAACACATCCTTCATTCCTTTCAAAAACAACTGTGTAATATTAGTATCGTGAGGCCATACTTTAACATATCCTAATTGGTAAACCAGTAGATAGTTGACATTATTTCCCCAAAAAAATGTTATTGCAACTAATTTTATCATGTTTTTTAAAGCTTGTACAAGCATGTCTGAATAAAGTAGACTATAAGTGTCATTGCTAGGTAGAAGATATTTACCTTTTTAATTTTTGACAGGAAGTTCCAAATTGTGATCCTGATAATTGGTACCCATTTAGTGTATTTTTTTCCTGAATTTTTGGGCTGTTTCTGCCTGTTGCTGACCAACTTGTATAGAAATGCACATGCTTGTTTCTACTATATTTAGATTTCAAACAGTGCTGATTATTGTGGGGATGTTGCCTTTCTATGATGCTTTAGTGCAACCCACAAGCAGTAATAGTTTGTATGCTCACTTTTCCTAAGTTTGTAACAAACAGTTTACCCAGTGCATGTGATCTATTTAAAACTACCTTCAGAGCAAATGCAGTTCATAGAATCTGCTTATGGCCAGGAAAAAGTTCAGTGCTCTGCCAAATCCATTCAGCTTGAAGTCAGGAAGCCTGTAGTCATTTCCAATGAGTTCTAATGAGATAGTACATTACAGAAAATGATAAGAAAGGATGTAGAAATTTGAAGGAATGTCTGAGTAAGACACATAAACAAAGCCCAGGTACAGCACAGAACTATGAAACTTGACACAAATAAAAATCTTAAACTTTTCAGAGGAAAAAAATCCCCACCCTATTCACATATGTACTGAAATAGAGAATATAAAAAGAAAACACAGTAAACCTTCTGAGATTTATATTGCAGGTGTATGGTTCCTGCTGTTTCCCTTCCAGATGTGTTATCCATCAAAGAGCTACACTATTAACCCTGGTGGATAAGTCAGCTCTATGAGACATGGAGTAGTCATTTCCTTGGTTATTCAGGGATGCCTGGTAGTCAGGCTAATGCAGAGCTTTGTGCCCTGTCAGTGGCCGCATCTGAAATGTTCCACACCCAGGCAAACTGGGCCTCACATGGTTCATGAGCTCACTGGGTCATAAGGCTCAGAAGGCAGCTGCAAAGGGGCGATGACTCTCTCCTTCTGGCTGCAGATGTTCAACCCCTTCCCTGTACTTCCCTTGCCTCCTGCAACTCCAGAAAGAGCTCACGTAATTCTTGTCCAAATGGTTTTGTGAGCTACCTGCAGCTAGAGAGCAATACCACCATTTAAGGTAAGTTTATATTGTTGGCTCACAAATCCAATTTCAACTACAGGTGCTTCTCAACTTACAATGGAATTACCTTCCAATAAGCCCGTTGTAAGTTAAAAATATTATAAGTCAAAAATGCATTTAGTATCCATAACCCACCAAATATCATAGCTTAACCTGGCCCACCTTAAATGTGCTCTGAACCCCTACATTAGCCTACAGTTGGGCAAAAGTATCTAACACGAAGCCTATTTGATAATAAAGTATTGAATAACTCATGTAATTTATTGAATACTGTACCAAAAGTGAAAAGCAGAATGGTTGTACAGGTACTCAAAATGCAGTTTCTACTGAATGCTTACTGCTTTCTTACCATGGTGAAGTCTAAAAATCATACACTGAAGCATCCTAAGTCAGATGCCACCTGTATAATTCTTTTACCTGCCTTTTAGTTTATCGGTTACATTTTCCTGCCGTGGTACATGCTGCCAGCTTGTGAGAAACCATAACTACCTTAAGTGGTAAACTATTTTTCTGATACAACTAAAATAAGTAAATAGCTCCTTGATAAAGGTTTTGCTTAGTTTTAATAACCAAAAGTTGGGTTTTGTTTACATTGGAGAACATTAGAATTATACCAATAAATGAAAATTTAAATTAATCTGAAATCCAAAAGATTATAAAGCCCATCTCCTTTTAAACATTGCTTCATCAGAAAGAGTCAAGGTAGTAGCTAAGATCCTTATTTTTTTCTCCAAAATGAATATATTCTAAAAATGTGTCAAGGAGTCAGCATAGGTTTAAATGAAATTCCTAACTTTTATGAAGAGATTTCATGATTTTATTTATGAACATAAGGACTCATATTTATGAGTACAAAGTTCCAAGTATTTAGGTTTAGTCTAAATATTGTTTTAGTGATAATTTTTAAAATAATAACGAAGATAGTAAGTGCTCAATAAAGATAAGTAATGTATTAAACAGTAGTATAAGCACTTTTATTTTACCATTTAATTTTTAGCACAACTCCATGAAATTCAAAATAATGTAATCTTTTATTGAGGGAATTCTAGTACAAAGAGATTAGTAATTTACCTAAGGTCAGAGAGCTAGTGTCAGAGCCAGAATTTAAATGTGTGCAATTGATTAATTTGTAAATAGTGATTTATTTCAGATAATTTTTTTAAACCACACAGATTACAGCAGTAACAGCAAACTTTCACATTCGTTGTCTACTTCACTCTGCAAATAGTCTTGTAGATTAAGTTCAGAGCTGTTATCTTTACCAGTTTGTAAATGAAATAGATGAGGCTCAGAAGATAGACTTTCTCAAGGTCACCCAGTTAGCATGAGGTACACTGACCCAAATCTAGTTTTTTTGAAATTATTTTTTCCTAGGCATACCAAATGCTAATCTGAGTGATACTTGATAAAAAATAATTTAGAACTAATATTATCAAGGAGATGAATAATTAAAACATTTTGATAAATTAATAGGGGATAAATTTTATTCCAAATGGTGAGTGAAGAATGCGTATTATTAGTAGAAAGATTATTTTGTACATGATTTTATTCCTAGGTCCAAGAATATGGCCTAACACATAATGGGTTCTTAAATGCTTGTTCAGGGAAGAAATCAACACATAAATTAATCTACTATGAGACTTCAATGTATTAAGATCTTTCTCTTGTTATTGTTTTATCTAAAACACTAAGAAATTACATATCTGTGATTTCAAATTTTGAATATTTAAAATTTTAGTCCAGTTCTGTTCAAACTTAAGGAAAACATTTTTCTGAAATAATCTAAAATTGATATATGTCCAGATACTATGACTTCTTGTGAAGTAAAGCATAACTCACAGTGTGAGACACATTAGCAGGTATAAAGAGTTATGCTATTATAAATTGTGAGTACTCATTTGAAATATTTGTGGATTTTTCAAAATTAACCAATATGTTCATTTTGACCAAATCTCTAAACAATACACACACAAATGAATTTTGTCCCACTTAACATGTCATAATTCTGCCCAAATGTTATCATTTAAAAATTTATAGAGTAGTTCTCAAACTTTAACATGCACTAGAATCACCTGGAGGGCTTGTTAAAATGTAGATTACTAGACCCTATTAGTAGGTCTAGGGCAGAGCCCGAGAATTCACATTTCTATCAAGTATCCAGGTGGTGCCCATACTGCCCATCTAGAGACCACATTACATGAACCACTGTCATAATGGAAAGCACTAAATATACCTTCAACTTCTGCTTTAAAAATTAAGAACAGAGGATACCAGAGTGTTACAGGTTCACAGCTCTTCTTAACCACCATCTTCCCCAGCCACATTCATTTCCAGATTTGGTTCATCTGATTTATTCATGTGCTATAATACAGTGTGTGTTTGTAAGAATCAATAGATTTCCTAAGCTTATAAGTTTCACCATAGCTGCAGGTTTTTAGATTGACAGTAGAATAAGTTCAGCTTATAATAAAATATCTAATTATTACAACAATCATTTAAAAAGTTGAAATACTGAATCATTGCAATTGGTCTTTCTCTCTGGTTGAAAAGTACATACAATTAAGACTGCAATATTTACCACCATCCAGCAAAGGTGCATTAGGTATTGCTAGTCCATCTAACAGAATATATCAGCATTTCAATTTGAATTTGACTATATCCACAGAGATATCATGTCTAAACATCTACTGCCACTTATAACCCTAACTAGAAGTAATTAACACGACCTTGAACATTTGACTTAATTTCAAATAGCTTGTTTTTGTTGTAAAAATGATTCTGGCCATAATACTATAGAATCTGCGAAACATATGCTATGTGATTACATGTGACTGCAGAGGGAGGACTGTGTTCAAATCAGAGTTTAAATTATACTTAGTTTTTAAAAATCTTACCAGGGAAAATAGATTATGTAGAACAATGTTAAAATGTCAGGATCAGTAAAAAAAATAATGGGGGTTTCAAAAACCTTTGTTTGGAAAATAAAAAGATTTAAGGGAGGAATTGCTACTTGATTACAAAAGTGTTAAACACATGCCAGAATTAGTGGTAATATTAGTCGTCATGATGTATGTGGTTACTGTATTGACATTGATTTTTACAATATCCCAGTTTTCAAAGGAAGAAACTGAGGCCCAAGTATTTGGCTTGTCTAGTCAGCCAGTGTGTCAAATTATCTCTAAATATTTCCAATATAGAGTTAAGCCACATTTATTACAATAACCTGGCTTACTAAACAAGCCTGTGGAATAGAAAAAAAGTTATATATTAGCTTCAAATATAACCTTTTTAACACCTAAATAGTTGTCAGGGGCTCATATTTTACTGAATTCTTTATTCTTCCCTTGACTATAGATTTGTTTCCCCATAGCAGAAATTTATACTAATGGATTAATGCACATTATAGCAATAACATAAAGCAATGACAACAGGAACTTCTTGGATTAACTCATATAAAGTCTGTTGCTCTCCTGAAATCCATGCAAAATAAATTATTTCAGTGTGTTTTTCCCAACTGAGCCAAGTTTCTCAAGCGTTTTATACCTGCTTTTGTTAAGTTTTTACTTTTGCAGGACTTGTATTTCATTCTAATTATTGATATTTTTTATTTCTTTTGTTACAATAGTTTAGTATCTCAGTCATTTGAGGTTATCACTGATTTCTCTAATTTCCTACCTCTCCTAATTTATTGGTGAACTTATTTTCTATCTCTTTTTTTACTGATATGATTATAAAACCTCATCTTTTCGCCTCAATGCATTTTGCTTTCCTTATCTCAGGCTCCTTTCTGCATCTTATTAACTTTTCTGCGAGACTTATTCAATGAAACATATTCTTTCTTGGTTCACATTCTACTTCTCTGACAGTCTTTTAACTCTCTCTTTCTCTCTCTCCCTGTCTCTCTTTCTCTCTCTCTGTGTGTGTGTACTCACACATATTGGCCCTTGCAGAAAGGTGAGTTTTAAAATTAATTCAATTCACATGATATTATTACAGAGTCTCACTGTAGTCTACTCTTCTATCTTGAGCTATTTATATTTTATCTATCTATCTTCCTATATTTATTACTATTCTTCATGTCACAATGTTCATTTTATTTTTGCTCACATGCTCCTTTAATATAATATTACATTCCATGTCCTTAAATATTAAACGGTTAAATGGAGTAATTAATTGAACTCTAATTATTTTTGTATATACTTTGGGAAACAACAGTCAGCACTGTAAAAATAATAGGCTACAGCCTGTAAGAATTAATATAAGCTTTATAAATTAAAAAAAAATAACGATTTTTAGGGACAGGGTTGAACTTTGAAAGGTCACAAGCAATTGTAATATCTAAGGTTTTTTTTTTTTTTTGACCTGTACGATTTCATTTTTATCTTACTGGTGACAGTATCATCCCTGTTGAGAATACATAAGCTATGGCTTCAAAACTCACAACCTTGGCAATAAAAACTCAGCCAAACTGCTCACTGGCCATATGACTAGTTCTCAAATACTCCATCATCATATAGGGTAGAAAGGTAAACCAGTAATTTAAAGCCTGATTACAGATTCGTGTCCTGAAGAAAAATGTGGGTAGTAACTGAAAAGATGCTGGAGAGAGAGGCAGATGGGGAGAAACAAAAAAAATAGATAAACTAAAAACATAAGTCTTATCCAAAAATTACTGATAAACCAAAATTACAAAAAACAAAACTTGGATGCTAAGAAAGACAACCAGCAAAATTAACAATCATGCATCCACTTTGAAAAATTAATTTTATGCCAGCCACGATGGCTCACACCTGTAATCCCAGCACTTTGGGAGGCCAAGGTGGGCAGATTGCCTGAGCTCAGGAGTTCAAGACCAGCCTGGGAAACACAGTGAAACCCTGTCTCTACTAAATTGCAAATCTTTACTGTTGATCAGTAAATTACAAAAATTACTAAATTACAAAAATTAGCTGAGCATGGAGTCATGCAGGAGGCTGAGGCAGGAGAATTGCTTGAACCTGGGAGGCGGAGGTTGCAATGAGCTGAGATCACACTACTGCACTCCAGCTACTGCACTCCAGCCTGGGCAACAGGAAAAAAAAAAGAGAAATTAGTTTTATAAAACATCCTGACAAAGACTTTAAATTAGAAACATTGAGCATTTCCAAAACGAGAGACAATACAGCAGAACTTCCCTTAAAATATATTCAAAATTTTTCAACAAAAACAGGTAAAAATGAAAAAAGAATAGGTGGATATTTAAAAAACAACTAAAGATTTGGTAAAAGAAATTTATTGATTAAATTAAAAAATTATAATAAACTGGATTTTATTGTTTTCCCTGCTAGACTTAGAGAGGGATAGACAGATATATTTCAATAGCTGTTATGAGATATGGAAAATTGAGATATTCTAACATTTTAATAAGTAGAAATTCCAGGAGAAAAAAAATGAAATGAATAATAGGGAGGTAATATTTGAAGAAATTGTTGTGCTGATAATTTTTCAAAATTAAAGAAATCTTATAAGTCATCAGATCAGTACAATACAAATACTGAGAGAATAAATACAAATAAAACTAAATGTTGACACACTGAAAAACTATAGAAATCAACAGTAAAGAAACAGTGAAAGAGAGGGAGCCAAGATGGCTGAATAGAAACAGCTCCAGTCTACAGCTCCCAGCATGAGCGACGCAGAAGATGGGTGATTTCTGCATTTCCAGCTGAGGTACCAGGTTCATCTCACTGGGGAGTGTCAGAAAGTGGATGCAGGACAGTGGGTGCAGCACACTGAGCATGAGGCAAAGCAGGGCGAGGCATTGCCTCCCCCAGGAAGCCCAAGGGGTCAGGGAATTCCCTTTCCTAGTCAAACAAAGGGGTGACAGATGGCACCTGGAAAATCGGGTCACTCCCACCCTAATACTGCACTTTTCCAATGGCCTTAGCAAATGGCACCCCAGGAGATGGTTTCCCAGGCCTGGCTCAGAGGGTCCTACGCCCACTGAGACTCACTCATTGCTAGCACAGCAGTCTGAGATCAAACTACAAGGCAGCAGCGAGGCTGGGGGAGGGGCGCCCGCCATTGCCAAGGCTTGAGTAGGTAAACAAAGTGGCCAGGAAGCTCGAACTGGGTGAAGCCCACCGCAGCTCAAGGAAGCCTGCCTCCCTCTGTGGACTCCACCTCTGGGGGCAGGGCATAGCCAAACAAAAGGCAGCAGAATCCTCTGCAGACTTAAATGTCCCTGTCTGACAGCTTTGAAGAGAGTAGTGGTTCTCCCAGCATGCAGCTGGAGATCTGAGAACGGACAGACTGCTTCCTCAAGTGGGTCCCTGACTCCCGAGTAGTCTAACTGGGAGGAACCACTCAGCAGGGGCAGACTGACACCTCAGACGGCCGAGTACTCCTCTGAGACAAAATTTCCAGAGGAACGATCAGGCAGCAACATTTGCTGTTCACCAATATCTGCTGTTCTGCATCCTCCGCTGCTGATACCCAGGCAAACAGGGTCTGGAGTGCACCTCCAGCAAACTCCAACAGAACTTCAGCTGAGGGTCCTGACTGTTAGAAGGAAAACTAACAAATAGAAAGGACATCCACACCAAAACCCCATCTGTATGTCACCATCATCAAAGAACAAAGGAAGATAAAACCACAAAGATAGGGAAAAAACAGAGCAGAAAAACTGGAAACTCTAAAAAGCAGAGTGCCTCTCCTCCTCCAAAGGAATGCACCTCCTCACCAGCAATGGAACAAAGCTGGATGGAGAATGACTTTGATGAGTTGAGAGAAGAAGGCTTCAGACAATCCAACTACTCTGAGCTAAAGGAGGAAGTTCGAACCCATGACAAAGAAGTTAAAAACTGTGAAAAAAAATTAGACAAATAGCTAACTAGAATAATCAATGCAGAGAAGTCTTAAAGGACCTGAGAGAGCTCAAAACCAAGGCACAAGAACTACGTGAAAAATGCACAAGCCTCAGTAGCCAATTCAATCAACTGGAAGAAAGGGTATCAGTGATTGAAGATCAAATGAATGAAATGAAGTGAGAAGAGAAGTTTAGAGAAAAAAGAATAAAAAGAAATGAACAAAGCCTCCAAGAAAAATGGGACTATGTGAAAAGACCAAATCTACGTCTGACTGGTGTACCTGAAATTGACAGGGAGAATGGAACCAAGTTGGAAAACACTCTGCAGGATGATATCCAGGAGAATTTCCCCAACCTAGCAAGGCAGGCCAACATTCAATTTCAGGAAATACAGAGAACGCCACAAAGATACTCCTCGACAAGAGCAACTCCAAGACACATAATTGTCAGATTCACCAAAGTTGAAATGAAGGAAAAATTGTTAAGGGCAGCCAGAGAGAAAGGTCAGGTTACCCAGAAAGGGAAGCCCATCAGACTAACAGCTGATCTCTTGGCAGAAACTCTACAGGCCAGAAGAGAGTAGGGGCCAATATTCAACATTCTTAAAGAAAATAATTTTCAAGCCAGAATTTCATATCCAGCCAAACTAAGCTTCCTAAGTGAAGGAGAAATAAAATCCTTTACAGACAAGCAAATGCTGAGAGATTTTGTCACCACCAGGCCTGCCTTACAAGAGCTCCTGAAGGAAGCACTAAGCATGGAAAGGAACAACTGGTACCAGCCACCGCAAAAACATCCCAAATTGTAAAGACCATCAATGGTAGGAAGAAGCTGCATCAACTAACGAGCAAAATAACCAGCTAACATCATGACAGGATCAAATTCACACATAACAATATTAACCTTAAATGTAAATGGGCTAAATGCTCCAATTAAAAGACACAGACTGGCAAATTGGATAAAGAGTCAAGACCCGTTAGTGTGCTGTATTCAGGAAACCCATCTCACGTGCAGAGACACACATAGGCTCAAAATAAAGGGATAGAGGAACATCTACCAAGCAAATGGAAAACAAAAAATGGCAGGGGTTGCAATCCTAGTCTCTGATAAAACAGACTTTAAACCAACAAAGATCAGAAGAGACAAACAAGGCCGTTACATAATGGCGAAGGGATCAATTCAACAAGAAGAGCTAACTATCCTAAATATATATGCACCTAATACAGGAGCACCCAGATTCATAAAGCAAGTCCTTAGAGACCTACAAAGAGACTTAGACTGCCACAAAATAATAACGGGAGACTTTAACACCCCACTGTCAACATTACACAGATCAATGAGACAGAAAGTTAACAAGGATATCGAGGAATTGAACTCAGCTCTGCACCAATTGGACCTAACAGACATCTGCAGAACTCTCCATCTCAAATTAACAGAATATACATTCTTCTCAGCAACACAGCGCACTTATTCCAAAATTGACCACATAGTTGGAAGTAAAGCACTCCTCAGCAAATGTAAAAGAACAGAAATTATAACAAACTGTCTCTCAGACCACAGTGCAATCAAACTAGAACTCAGGATTAAGAAACTCACTCAAAACTGCTCAACTACATGGAAACTGAACAACCTGCTCCTGAATGACTACTGGGTACATAACAAAATGAAGGCAGAAATAAAGATGTTCTTTGAAACCAATGAGAACAAAGACACAACATACCAGAATCTCTGGGACACATTCAAAGCGTGTAGAGGGAAATTTACGGCACTAAATGCCCACAAGAGAAAGCAGGAAAAATCTAAAATTGATACCCTAACATCACAATTAAAAGAACTAGAGAAGCAAGAGCAAACACATTCAAAAGCTAGCAGAAGGCAAGAAATAACTAAGATCAGAATAGAACTGAAGGAAATAGAGACACAAAAAACCCTTCAAAAAATCAATGAATCCAGGAGCTGGTTTTTTGAAAAGATCAACAAAATTGATAGACCGCTAGCAAGACTAATAAAGAATAAAAGAGAGAAGAATCAAATAGACGCAATAAAAAATGATAAAGGGGATATCACCACCGATCCCACAGAAATACAAATTACCATCAGAGAATATTATAAACACCTCTATGCAAATAAACTAGAAAATCTAGAATAAATGGATAAATTCTTCGACACATACACCCTCCCAAGACTAAACCCGGAAGAAGTTGAATCCCTGAATAGGCCAATAACAGGCTTGGAAATTGAGGCAATAATTAATAGCTTACCAACCAAAAAAAGTCCAGGACCAGATGGATTCATAGCTGAATTCTATCAGAGGTACAAGGAGGAACTGGTACCATTCCTTCTGAAACTATTCCAATCAATACAAAAAGAGGGAATCCTCCCTAACTCATTTTATGAGGCCAGCATCATCCTGATACCAAAGCCTGGGAGAGACACAACAAAAAAAGAGAATTTTAGACCAATATCTCTGATGAACATCAATGCAAAAATCCTCAATAAAATAATGGCACACCAAATCCAGCAGCCCATCAAAAAGCGTATCCACCATGATCAAGTGGGTTTCATCCCTGGGATGCAAGGCTTGTTCAACACATGAAAATCAATAAACATAATCCAGCATATAAACAGAACCAACAACAAAAACCATATGATTATCTCAATAAATGCAGAAAAGGCCTTTGACAAAATTCAACAACCTTCATGCTAAAAACACTCAATAAATTAGGTACTGATGAGATGTATCTCAAAATAACAAGAGCTATCTATGACAAACCCACAGCCAATATCATACTGAATGGGCAAAGACTGGAAGCATTCCCTTTGAAAACTGGCACAAGACACGGATGACCTCTCTCACCACTCCTATTCAACACAGTGTTGAAAGTTCTGGCCAGGGCAATCAGGCAGGAGAAGGAAATAAAGGGCATTCAATTAGGAAAAGTGGAAGTCAAAATGTCCCTGTTTGCAGATGACGTGACTGTATATCTAGAAAACCCCATCGTCTCAGCCCAAAATCTCCTTAAGCTAATAAGCAACTTTGGCAAAGTCTCAGGATACAAAATCAATGTGCAAAAATCACAAGCATTCTTATACACCAATAACAGACAAACAGAGAGCCAAATCATGAGTGAACTCCCATTCACAATTGCTTCAAAGAGAATAAAATACCTAGGAATCCAACTTACAAGGGATGGGAAGAACCTCTTCAAGGAGAACTACAAACCACTGCTCAATGAAATAAAAGAGGATACAAACAAATGGGAGAACATTCCATGCTCATGGGTAGGAAGAATTAATATTGTGAAAATGGCCATACTGCCCAAGGTAATTTATAGATTCAATGCCATCCCCATCAAGCTACCAATGAGTTTCTTAACAGAATTAGAAAAAAACTACTTTAAAGTTCATATGGAACCAAAAAAGAGCCCACATTGTCAAGTCAATCCTAAGCCAAAAGAACAAAGCTGGAGGCATCACGCTACCTGACTTCAAACTGTACTACAAGGCTACAGTAACCAAAACAGCATGGTATTGGTACCAGAACAGAGATATAGACCAATGGAACAGAACAGAGCCCTCAGAAATAATGCCGCATGTCTACAAACATCTGATCTTTGACAAACCTGGCAAAAACAAGAAATGGGGAAAGGATTCCCTATTTAATAAATAGTGTTGGGAAAACTGGCTAGCCATATGTAGAAAGCTGAAACTGCATCTCTTCCTTACACCTTATACAAAAATTAATTCAAGATGGATTAAAGACTTAAATGTTAGACCTAAAACCATAAAAACCCTCGAAGAAAACCTAGGCAATACCATCCAGGACATAGGCATGGGCAAGGACTTCATGTCTAAAACACCAAAAGCAATGGCAACAAAAGCTAAAATTGACAAATGGGATCTAATTAAACTAAAGAGCTTCTGCATAGCAAAAGAAACTACCATCAGAGTGAACAGGCAACCTACAGAATGGGAGAAAAGTTTTGCAATCTAGTCATTTGACAAACGGCTAATATCCAGAATCAACAATAAACTCAAACAAATTTACAAGAAAAAAACAAACAACCCCATCAGAAAGTGGGTGAAGGATATGAACAGACACTTCTCAAAAGAGGACATTTATGCAGCCAAAAGACTCATGAAAAAATGCTCATCATCACTGGCCATCAGAGAAATGCAAATCAAAACCACAATGAGATACCATCTCACATCAGTTAGAATGGCGATCATTAAAAAGTCAGGAAACAACAGGTGCTGGAGAGGATGTGGAGAAATAGGAACACGTTTACACTGTTGGTGGGACTGTAAACTAGTTCAACCATTGTGGAAGAAAGTGTGGCGATTCCTCAGGGATCTAGAACTAGAAATACCATTTGACCCAGCCATCCCATTACTCAGTATATACCCAAAGGATTATAAATCATGCTGCTATAAAGACACATGCATACGTATGTTTATTGCGGCACTATTCACAACAGCAAAGACTTGGAATCAACCCAAATGTCCAACAATGATAGACTGGATTAAGAAAATGTGGCACATATGCCCCATGGAATACTATGCAGCCATAAAAAATGATATGTTCATGTCCTTTGTAAGGACATGGATGAAGCTGGAAACCATCATTCTCAGCAAACTATCGCAAGGACAAATAACCAAACACTGCATGTTCTCACTCATAGGTGGGAATTGAACAATGAGAACACATGGACACAGGAAGGGGAACATCACACACAGGGGACTGTTGTGGGGTGGGGGGAGGGGGGAGGGATAGCATTAGGAGATATACCTAATGTTAAATGATGAGTTAATGGGTGCACCACCCCAACATGGCACATGTGTACATATGTAACTAACCTGCACGTTGTGCACATGTACCCTAAAACTTAAAGTATAATAATAAAAAAACCTGTCAAAGAGGAAAAGATGAATAATCTAAAACAGAGTAACAATTGTCCTGACAGTAGGTTCCTTGACAGTTAAACTAGATATTCAGAAGTCAATGAAATGTCTTAAAAGTAATGAGAGGTGGTCATCTAAAATGTTAACATAGAGAGAAAATGGGTGTGGAGTACACAAAAAACAAATTATCCTTGCAACTTTTCTGTAACTAAAATAATTCTATCAGCAAGGAGTACATTCAACATAGACAAAATTGATGGTTTAAAAAAAATGACGAGCCTACAAATTGATAAATTATAATCCATTCTTCCTCCCTCCTTCTCTCTCCCTTCATGAATAATTAAGTCCAAAATTCGTTAGTGAGCAAAGTCGGTTGTATTAGTTTTTTCTCACACTGCTGATAAAGACATACCTAAGACTGGGCAATTTACAAAAGGAAGAGGTTTAATTGCATTTACAATTCCACGTGTCTGGGAAAGCGTCACAATCATGGCAGATGGCAAGGAATTGCAAATCCTGTCTTACATGGATGGCAGCAAGCAAAGAGGGAATGAGAGGCAAAAGCAGAAACCCCTGACAAAACCATCAGATCTCATAAGACTTATTCACTGCCAGGAGAACAGTATGGGGGAAGTGCCACCATTAATCAATTATCTCCTCCTACTTGGTCCCTCCCACAACACATGGGAATTTTGGGAGTACAATTCAAGATGAGATTTGTGTGGGGACACAGCCAAAGCATATCATTCTGTCCCTGGCCCCTCCCAAATCTCATATCTTCACATTTCAAAACCAATCATGCCTTCCCAACAGTCCCCCAAAGTCTTAATTCATTTCAGCATTAACTCAAAAGCCCACAGTCCAAAGTCTTATCTGAGACAAGGTAAGTCCTTTCCACCTATGAGCCTGTAAAATCAAAAGCAAGCTAGTCATTTCCCAAATACATTGGGGGTACAGAAATTGGGCAGATGCAACCATTCCAAAAGGGAGAAATTGGCCAAAACAAAGGGGCTACAGGGCCCATGGAAGTCCAAAATCCATCAGGGCAGTAAAATCTTAAAGCTCTAAAGTGATCTCCTTTGACTCCATGTCTCATATCCAGGTCATGCTGATGCAAGAGATGAGTCCCTATGGTCTTGGGCAATTCCATCCCTGTGGCTTTGCAGGGTACAACATCCCTCCTGGCTGCTTTCATGGGCTGGCATTGAGTGTCTGTGGCTTTTACAGGTGTACGGTGCAAGCTGTTGGCTGATCTACCATTCTGGGATCTGGAGGATGGTGGCCCTCTTCTCACAGCTCCACTAGGCTGTGCCCCAAGAGGGAGTCTGTGTAGGGATTTTGAACCCACATTTCCCTTCTGCACTGCCCTAGCAAACATTTTCCATGAGGGCCCCACCCCTGCAGCAAACTTCTGCCTGGGCATCCAGGTATTTCCATACATCTTCTGAAACTAGGCAGAGGTTCCCAAACCTCAATTCTTGACTTCTGTGCACCTTCAGGCTCAACACCACATGGAAGCTGCCAAGGCTTGGGGCTTGCACCATCTGAAGCCATCACTTGAGCTCTATGTTGGCCTCTTTCAGTCATGGCTGGAACAGCTAGGACACAGGGCACCAAGTCCCTAGGGTGCACACAGCTCAGGAACCCTGGGCCTGGCCCACAAAACCGCTTTTTCCTCTTAGGCCTCTGGGCCTGTGACAGGAGGGGCTACTGTGACAACTTCTGACATGCCCTGGAGACATTTTCTCCATTGTCTTGGGTATTAACATTCGGCTCCTCATTACTTATGCAAATTTCTGTAGCCAGCTTGAATATCTCCTCAGAAAATGGGATTTTCTTTTCTACCACATTGTCAGGCTGCAAATTTTCCAAACTTTTTTGCTGTGCTTCCCTTAAAAACTGAATGCCTTTAGCAGCACCCAAATCACCTCTTTAATGCTTTGCTGCTTAGAAATTTCTTCCTCCAGACACCCTAAATCATCTCTCTCAAGTTCAAAGTTTCACAAATCTCTAGGGCAGCAGCAAAATGCTGCCAGTCTTTTTCTAAAACATAACAAGAATCACCTTTGCTCCAGTCCCCAATAAGTTCCTCATCTCCATCTGAGACCACCTCAGCCTGGACCTTATTGTCCATATCGCTATCAGGCTTTTGGTCAAAGCCATTCAACAAGTCTCTAGAAAGTTCCAACTTCCCAACATTTTCCTATCTCTTCTGAGCCCTCTAAACTGTTCCAACCTCTGCCTTTTACCCAGTTCCAAAGTTGCTTCCACGTTTTCAGGTATCTTTTCAGCAACGCCCCACTTTACTGGTAGCAATTTACTGTATTAGTCTGTTCCCACGCAGCAAAGACATACCCAAGACTGGGCAATTTACAAAAGAAAGAGGTTTGTTTGGACTTACAGTTCCACATGGCTTGGGAAGCCTCACAATCATGGCAGAAGGCAAGGAGGAGCATGTCCTTTCTTACATGGATGGCAGCAGGCAAAGACAGAATGAAGGAGATGCAAAAGAGGAAACCCCTGACAAAACCATCAGATCACGTGAGACTTAATCACCACCATAATAGCAGCATGAGGGACACTGTCCCCATGATTCAATTATCTCCTTCCACTGGGTCCCTCCCACACATGGGAATTATGGAAGTACAATTCAATATGAGATTTGGATGGGGACACACCCAAACTGTATCATAGGTTGCTGGGTATTGTGAGGAAGGAAGTAGTGGCAGTTCAGCATGGCGTGTTGAAACTTGAGCAAAATGGGGAGATCTGTGCAGCCATGTATGGGTTGTTCCAGCTGAAGCAAGGAAGGAGAATATCCACTTGGGAGAGAAGTGGTAATAGCCCGGCACACAGTGTCAGAGCCCAAGGAGAGTGACGAAGTCATTTGTACAGAGGGGAACAGTGATGGTAGAGAAGGATTGGTTATAATAAGTAAATATATTGAGAATAACAAGCCAGGTTTTTCACCATCAGCAAAAAGAATTACAAATAGATTTACAAATAAGAAGAGAAAGCTAGGGTTAAAAAGAATTAATGTAGCATTTAAAATGCCAAACTTTCTCACAGGGAAAAGCTTAAACTCTAGCTTATCGTTTTGAAAATGTATATCTTTATCATTAAAAACTCGGATATAAGATTTTTAAAAATAAGTTGATTAAGATTTTTTTATCCTCATATAATGTTTCACAAAAGTGTATTTGTCATGCCATGAAGATTTTAGACAATACTTAAAGTCACTTCTGTGGGAGACTTTCCTATTCACTGTGTTAGCTGAGGGGCCGTCACATGTGTATCATATGACTGCCACTTCCCTACTTCTGGATAGGGAATTCATGACCCAATAGCAGCCAAATCATAGCTTGTCTAGATATTAGTGGAGTGTTCTGGTTTGAAAGCTCTGCCCTGAGTTAGTTAGGCAATCAATTCTTGTTCTTGAATCTAGAAACACAGAGAAGCAAGCAGTTACTTGTAAAATCTAAAATGCAAAGAATGCAATTCAGAGACAAGGTGAGTCAAAATTAAGAAAAACGATATATAGAAACAAGAACAATGAATTATTAAAAGAGTACACATTATAACAGAGGTTCTAGATGAACATGAGTGTGGGGTATACTTTCTGAGAAAGAAGGTTCTCAGGGCAAGAGTGGAATAAGCTTGAAAATATCTGGCAAGAGATTTAGAGCAGAAAGAGAGAAAGCCCAAGAGATGAAGACACATTGGAAAGTTGTTAAGAAGCAGTAATAGTGAGGCACTAAAGTGAAGATTTGTAATTTTTCCTGCGAACTTGCTAGAGCTGCCTTAGTTAGACCTTCTAGTGTGTCTCTAAGTCCACATGCTAGTATAGTTTGCAGCATATGATTATAATCACATTTATCTTTATAATAAGTTATCACCAACTTGAGCTACCTTCAGTGAGTTTATTTTCCTTATAACCATTAAATGTCCAGCAAAAAACTTACTCTCATTTCATTCCATAAGTATTTCTTGATCACCTGGAATGTACAATGCCCTGTGGTAAACGACATGGAATACATACATGTATATTTAAAAATGAATTGTTCACAAGTTCTATTCTTAATAAACTTGTCATCTATGGGGGGAAAAGCTTTATAGCACTAATTGTGAACTTAATATTAAACAAATCATAAAACATACCTGAAAAAGGAAAGGTCAATGTTCACAATAAGAATTTTGCTTTCTATTTTCCAGTATTATGTTCTGTTAATTAAGTGACATTATGTCTTTTGTGGGAATGTAGATGGAACTGGAGGCCATTATCCTTAGTAAATTAATGCAGGAACAGAAAATCAAATACCATGTGTTCTCACTTATAAGTGGAAGCTAAATATGATGAGAATTTATGGACACAATGAAAGGAACAACACACACTGGGGCCTTGAGGGTAGAGCAGGGAGGAGGGAGAGGATCAGAAAAAATAACATTGGGTACTAGGCTTAGTACCTGGTTGATGAAATAATCTGTACACCAAACCCCTGTGACATTTAGTTTACCTACATAACAAACCTGCACATGTACCCCTGAACCAAAAATAAAAGTTAAAAAAGAGTCTTCTATGTTGTAATCCACATATGCTAACTAGAAGTGATGTTTGATCTCAAACACAAAACTTGAGAATATCGCATACGTTTTGAAGAAAAATTTGTTTTTTCACTGTTTCCTGTATTGAGAAAAATAGGAAACTGACTATCCTTGTAGCATGATTTTTTCTAGAAAATAAATGTGATCACTGTTGCAACTCAATTAATGGCAAACATATTCATGTTTTACACATCAAAATTCTTACCTTTAATTGTTATATCCATATTTTGCAAATATTACTTTAAAAAATCAGTCTTCCCCAAAGCATTTTTTAAAAAATAAGAAGGGAGTCTTTGTTAACGATGACAGTTGTTCAGAGTTTGATATTGTCTGTCTGAGGACACTGCAGAATTATCTAAAGTCATCACAGTCATGAGTAATTATGAGTGAGGACTATTCTGATTACACTGACAAGACAAGAAGTAGGTTAAGAGAGGAGCAGATGGGACTCAGATTAAAAAATTAGAATGACATTTCAACTCTAACTGAAATATGCTTTTTTGGCATGAAGAAAGAATTCCTCTTCCCAGAAATTTTTGAGGACAATGAAGACTATAGTATAGTGCTTTTCAGAAGCAGAAAGATAGATTTAGGTTTTCCATTTTAATTAGATTCTGATTCTGACTCTAAATATATATTTTGTTATAAAAGATACTTATACACCTGAACAAATGATGTCATTAAAGGTAAAATGTTTCTTCTGTAAATTTCTGTAAATTTCACACTTTGCAGCAAAAATATAAATATATGTTTACAGACACCTATACATACATATTAATAACTACCTAGATAGCTTTTCAAAGGAGCTTTATAATTATTTCCTGAAAGTACAGTATTTGTTTTAACTGTTCACTAATCCATTCATAAAATATTCACTGAATGCCAGTAATGTGCTATATATCAAGATGGTTGCTATGAGGATATAAAGGCAACCTGCATTATATTATATGAAAAGGTTATCAACTAAACTTAATAAACTGGGATACGCTGTCTTTAGGCATCACATCTGGCACTGAATAAGGAGCTAATTTTATTGAAGTAGCTTATCCTTTTTTCTTGTTGTTTTTGAATTATGGCATTCAAACAAATAGCCCTATTAATGGAAACAGAAGGAAAAAAACCATAATATTCTTTATTGCACAAAAATCTCAGGATGTTTCAGAATGAGAACTCCCTACAAGCAAAACAAATTGATTAAAGCTAAGTTACAATATTGATTATACTCCTTTATTTTTATACAATCAACACTTCTATAACTCTAGAGTCAAGCTAGTAAAATGACTAATTAAAATATTATTAAATTGGGTCAATAATGGAATGGTATATAGATCTAAATTGGCTTTTAATAATCTTGAAATTCTGCTTTATTTCCTTAAGCAATAAAAAGTGAAAAATGTGAAGTAAATTAAGTGTACTCAAACACTGCACAGTGCAGAGAGTTGGGATTAGATAGTTTATGAAAGCAATCTAACTTTATATAAATAAAAACAATGGTGATGATGAGTTCTTTAAAAAGAATGAATGAGACAGATAATCACAATTTAGTATTCAGAAATGTAAGCCATAAAAAGAATCAAGTGGATAAAATAGTCTCCCCACTGAGCATCATATTTTCTATTATCTTGTACAGGATGTGAAATTTACAGAAGAAACATTTTACCTTTAATGAACTCTAATTTTGATAATCGAGTTTCCAATTAACAGGGTAATTGCAAGGGTAGATTAATGTCACAATTCTCATTGAGTTATCTTACAGCTACTCTCTATGTGTGTGGTAAATATTCTGTGTACATTTTTTTCTTAACATTTCTTCAACCCAGATTTTACCTTAACATAATTGACAAATTTGGAGGGCATATTTTACTACAAGAGCCTGAGGACCTGATCCTATCATTAAAAGCACCCCAGGAAGAAAAATCCAAATGCAAATTTCAACTGACCTTTGCGGAAACAACTCATATTATTTTGCATCAGTAGCCACTAGAGATTTGTCTGGCTATATATGGATTTCCACATCTGTCAGCTATAAGTGCACTTCATCTGTCTGCTAAATCAGAGAGACAGAAATAGATGACAGTGATCAAGACTTTGAGCTTCTCTTAAATTAGCCACATTATGAGGTAAAGTTGGTTTCTCCACTGGGCTTTCATTCTAAAGGTTTACTCATAAGAAACTTAGAGAAAAGAACACATTAGAAAAGCAAATGGAGTCTTACCTCTTCCTTTCTGTAATTTTTTTTTCTCTTGGAATGGAGTGCTGACCAGACAGCCTGTCTGGGGGTAGGTCCTGCTGGGAGAACTGAGCATAAATTTCTCTTGTTTGTAGCTACCTGTGCTCTGCTACCAAAGAACAACATCAGCAAGGGCTATAACAAACTTCACCTGTGCCCAGATTCCCCTACAGATCCCTGTTACTAAGCCCCTACTGTTTCCTCCCTTTGTGAGCTGATTAAAAGATAATAATAAAACCTTACTCACCCTTGGACATGAGTCCAGAGTGATATATACACCAGCTGCTAGCATGGAAAATGCATTGATTTTTTCCCCTTAGTCTTTTCCATCTACACTCTTCATTAAATAAAGGGAAAATGGGATGAGATAGAGAACCACAACCACTTGTTTAGGAGAGCACACTCTACCTAACATTTGGCTTCCCAGTTTGACCATTAGACTTTGGAAAAAATTTTCTAAACTAGGGTTAAAGGAAAGCCAGTCACCTCCGAGTCATACTATGTATTATTTTCCACAGTGTGATCAGGTGGAAAGAAAGAGTTGATGATAAAAAAAATAAAGAGAGAAATACCTTTCTGTAGAGAGTTCAAGAACAAAAGTTTTTCACTTGGCCTGATAGAGCTCCATCCCTCTCCCCACTTTAGGACTAAAATAGAGGCTGGTTTATTTAGCACAGAAGAGAGCAAATAAGTTTAAAACCTGCGTCCATGATTCACATCCTTACCGATGTGTTCACTGCTTCCTGGGTACAGGAACATTAACCTAATGATAAGACTGTGTCTTCTCTATCATCTGACACTTAGAGGTGCTGAGTGTTAAATATTACTTGGCCAATTACAAACAGGCTACCTTAGCTAGAAGCCCGACATTTTGTTCTATATGAATGGAAGTGAATCATTGAAGTATATAAAGAGCTTGATCATCACTCTCCCAAAGATGTTAAACTTATTCCTAATGCCTTGATTTTATGGAAGGTCTAGGGAGTTTCAAGGAAAAATATGGATATGTAGTACATAATCAGATCATTATAATTCATTATATGGTGTTAACATTGTACTTCTTGGCAAGCCAAGGAATTCTTGATGCATGCCAAATGTCATTTTCTAGCCAAAAATTCTTAAGGTAATATCATCAATTCCTTCTACGTTAAGTTTAATAATTAAGTAGGGCTTTCAAACTCATGTTAATGTATTTTACATTATTACTCAGGGCAATTTTATATTAACTACAATTCAGTACCTATTGCCCTTACAAATTTCCTATCTACATTAATAATCTTTCTACCCCTTTTCAGCTCTAAAATAAACTAACATTATTATTTTCTGTGCTACTAATAAAAGTCTTCAAACATCTACTTTTTAGGCCAGCTGGAATTTAACTTAGGTAAAATGGAAGAAGAGAAGGAGGAGTAGAAGAAAACACACTTGATGATATCACAAATACCTTGGTGAAATGCATCTATTTTTACTTATCAAAGGATATTTCTTCTAACATCTCTTCTTATTCATCTGATGTTTCCTTTCAAAAACAGACTTGAAGTTTCCAAGACAGGGCAAGAGATACTCTTCAGTTTCTCAGAAGTATGTCTTCATCTGGGAAGACTGGCAATAGCTGATTAGTTGTTCTAGAATAATCAAAAAGGACCTGGAAATTATATATATTTACTTCAGATACACGAGTCATAAAAGCATGGATATATCCACAACCCCATCTAACACACATTGCCTTTACATTTAAATAATATACATGCCTTACATCTTTATTATAAATGTAATAAACAATATTTCCAAAATTAATGTTACCAAGTAGAAAGGGCTACACCAACTATGGAGGAGCACATAATCTGTTGCTCCAGAACACTAAAGACAGGAAACAAAGGTGCCTCTGTGACCTAAGGCAAATTATTTATACTGTATGTTTCTCACATTTCTCACCTATAGAAGGGAGTTACTAATACCCATTTCATAATATTATTGTAAAAATTAAAATAATTTCATTAGTACATTATAGTCAATTTATATGAAATGTGTCTATCCTTGTTTAGAGCAAGTATGTAAAACAAAAAGAAAGAAAAAGAAGAAACAAGACAAAAGTCTATCCATTCCTCACTTCTCTTATTTTTAATTATTATTTTAAATTATTTCCTGGTCATTAATCACCTCTTATTTCCCAGTCGTTTGTTTTCCTCTTCCTATCTAAAGATTTTTACGGCTCAAATTCTTGAAATATGGCTTCACCATTTCCAGTTTGTGTTATTATTGAAACAGGTGTACTCTACTTTGTATTGTCACTCACTCTGATTGCCAAAGGTGGGGGAGGGGGTAAGCAGCTTGTAATACCTCTTCCTGCCAAGTGATCTATTTCTCTCGTTCCCCACTCTTCTCCCACCCTCCATCATTCTTATGCTCTGAGGCTTCTCTTCATTTTCCTAAGATTATATCTGAATTTCCTTTTAAAGCACACTTGGACTGTTTTAAATGATATCTCTATAGGAGAGTATAACACAGCATCTCCTAACTCTCCATGAAAAACAAATTAACCCCCTCAAAAAAAAAACTCAAACTAACAATAAAAAAAAACTAAGACAACACAGAAAAGAAGACAAAACCATACTGTCTATGCTCTGTTAACTTTTATGTTGTGAAGAGATGGATGGGAAACCTAATGTCAGAGTCTGGGACAAGTGTAGATCTGTATGTAAGGCCACCTACATTCATTATCTGCAGGTCTCTGAAAGTAGGAGGCAGTCAAGTGAAGCAAACAGAGCATGCATGGTGAAGCAATGCATTCTGGGAGAAGAACAAGAGCTGCACACAGCAATTCACTTCCAGCTCTTTATCTGAAAACATTTGACAGCCACCCAAGTGGCTTTTTTTCCTGTGCTTATTTTATCAAGTACCTGTTTATGCTTTGTATTCATTTTCCTATGGGGTATCTATATTTTTTATTGATTTTTGGAGTTATTTATATAATCTATATACAAGCCCACTGTCACATGTACACATTGCAAATGTCTTGTTCTGCAGTGTGCTGTTTTACTCTTAATTTTTCTTAAAATATGTTCTTAGTTTTAATATAGTTCAACTTAATAATTTCCTTTAAGATTAGAGTTTTGTGTTCTGTTTTAGGAATCTATGCCTGTCCCAAGGTCATGAAAATATTGTGCTGTACTTCTAGAAATTTTATTATTTTGCTTTTAGATTTAGATCTACAATACACCAGAAATTACATTTCTATATAATGTAAAAGATAGGCCAAGTTCCATTTTATCTCCACTATGAATATCCAATAGATCTTGTACCATTTATTAAAAAGGCTGTTACACTGATGTGTAATACAACCTTACCCGTAAGTGTCCAAATATGTGTGGGTCTACTGCTGGGTTGTCGATTCTGTTTCTTTCATTGATAAATCTCTTTCCTTGTACCAATTATATCTTAATTATCATAGCTTAATAATCTCTTGATGTTTGGTATTTCTATTGGAACTTCATTGAATCATTAAAGAGAATTGAAATATTTTCAATATTGAATCTTCTATCCCATGAACATATCTTCCCATTTGTTTTGGTTCTTAAAATTTCTCTCAATAATATTTTATTATTCTCTTCAGAGGATAGACACACCATGTATTTATTTGAAATTTTTTATTCATGGCATTAAAAATAACATTTAAAACATTATTGTTGTTTGTTATAGTAGAGTGTAACAAATTTGTATATGTTGAATATATATGCATTAAACAACCTCCTGTAACCAATTTATTCATTCTTTTATGTATAGATTTGTTTGGATTTTCTACATATACAAATACCATCAGGAGATAATTAATGTTTTAATACTTATCTTCCAATTCATATGTACATTTTCTTCTTGTTTAATTACACTAGGTAGAACAGTGGTTCTTAACTAGCGATATTGCCCTTTCTTCCACGGGATATTGTCAAGGTCTAGAAACAGTCTTGTTGGGACAATTGAGGGAGGGCAGAGTGATATTGGCATCCAGAGGCCAGAGATGCTGCTAAACATCCTACAACATACAAGACAGCCCCCCAATAAATAATTTTCCACCCCAAAATAAGGCTAAGGCTGTGAAACTTCATGAAATGTTGAAAAGTTAAAAAGAGCAGAAGTCCTCATTTTATTCCCAATCTCAAAGAAAAGATTAAGTATTTCACCATTAAATAGCGCATTTACATTAAGTTTATGGAGATACCATTTATAAGATGGAAAAAATATCTTCCTATTTCTAGTTTGCAAATAATTTTTATTTTTAATGTATGTTAAGATTTATCAAATGTGATCCCTTGTAAGTTGTTGCAGGGACATGGATGAAACTGGAAACCGTCATTCTCAGCAAACTAACACAGGAAAAGAAAACGAAAACACCACATGTTCTCACTAATAAGTTGGAGTTGAACAATGAGAACATATGGGCACAGGGAGGAGAACATCACACACCAGGGCCTGTCGAAGGGTCGGGGGCTAGGGGAGGGATAGCATTAGGAGAAATAACTATTGCAGATGACGCGTTGATGGGTGCAGCAAACCACCATGACACATGTATACCTATGTAACGAACCTACACGTTCTGCACATGTATCCCAGAACTTAGAGTATAATAAATAATAATAATTAAGAATTCAAAGGGACCCCATCTCTACAAAAAATAAAAATAAAAATTTTTATCAAATGCTTTTTAGGCATCTATTGAGATGATCATATTATTCTTCTTTATTCTATTAATGTGGCAAATTGAATTGGTTTTTCAAATGTTAAACTAATCTTGTATTTCTGGAAAAAAAATGTAACTTTTTCATGAGGTATTCTGTGTGTGTGTGTGTGTATAAATTTGCTTTGCTAGAATGTTGCTTGCAAATTTTACAGTCTGGTTTGGTATAGAGGTTGTGCAAGCCCATACAAATTTGGTGGGAAGCATTCTCTAGTTTTTCTCTGGAGCCTGAAGTTTGGGTAAGCTTGATATTATGTCTTCCTTAAAAATTCTATATAATTCATCCAAGAGCCATCTGGACCTACTTTTTTCACTTTGGGGAAGACTTTTAATAACAGATTTCAATGTATTTAATGTGCATATATACAGTCATAGCTTCGTATCCATGTGGGATTGGTTCCAGGACCCACCACAGAATACCAAAATCTATGGATACTCAAGTCCCTTATAAAAAATGATGTAGTATTTGCATGTAACTTATGTACATCCTCTCCTGTACTTTAAATTATCTCTAGGTTACTTATAGTACTAGATACAATGTAAATACTAGGTAAATAATTGTTTTGCTATGTTGTTTAGAAAACCATGACAAGAACAAACAGTCTGTACATGTTGAGTACAGACACAGTCATTCTTTTTCATTTTTAATATTTTCAATCTTCATTTGATTGAATCCATGGATGCAATATCCACAGATATGAAGGGCTGATTATACATATGTGTGTATGTATATATATACACAAAATATATATATATATTTACACATATATGTACATCATACATGTATATGTACATAACATTTTACATATAGAATATATAAATATATAAAGAACCATTCATACTTTCTATTGTTGTGTCAGTTTGGCAAACTGTATTTTTCTAGCTACTTAACCATATAATCTATATTTTTAATTCATCAGTATTCAGTCCTATGTGATCTCTCTAACTGACATTTTTTGTCATGATTCCTTTTTCACTGTTTATAAAGGTTATCTGTGATTTCAGTTGTTTTTGATCCAGAACACTTTTTGAATGTATCAAATATTATGTTGTAAATTGAATCTCAAAGTTTAAGAAACAGAAATGAATATACCTCATTCTATAAGTATAATGTTGTACAATTGGAGGTAAATACTAGTATCTAAATACTTGGAAATGTAGTTCTTCTATCCTAAAGAATATAAAACCTATTTAGAAAAACAATGGCATAATATATAAACAAGTATAGAATGTTACCACACATCTATTGTGAGGTAAAAGAAAAACATTATATAACAAAATATAAAATGCATGAGTAAGAAAGCTTCAAAAATAAGAAATACAGCTATGGAATTAAAATCTTCCTTAGAAGAAGGAAAGATAATCTATTGTGAAATAATGGAAATAAATCACAAAACAAGGTCAATTAGTAAAGAAATAATAAAACAGAAAACTTACAACAAACTATTAAATAGAGAAACCTTGAAAAATGGTCTTCCACATTAAGACACTAGAAAGAAGCTAGATTATTGAATCCCTCTTTAGTCTTTATATAATTATCTTAATTTAAATAGTAAAAATTCACCACAACAGAAACCAAGCAATGAAAAGGGATACAACCATATGCCACTATTCAAAACATGCTAGCAAAAGTAAGAAAACAACATCCTAGTAATCGCAGTTTTGTGGAGTGCAGCAGCAGGCATGTGTGTATAGGAGAGGCATGGCTGATGAGGCAAAGAATACCTCAATACACTTCCCTTCTGTTGCCCTACACTACAGAAAGCGGCTTCAAAGGAGTACCTGCCCTCCAACATGCACACAAGTACTTTAGTACTCTTCCTAGGTCCCAAGCAAGTGGTGGTAGATGTCAAAGAGAATTCACATATACTTTTTAAGGAAAATAAAGCAATTGGCATCTCTGCCTATTAAGCAAAAAAGGAATTGAAAAAAATGACATTTCAGCTATGTAATTATATTATAGGGTATATAACAAGAAAAAGTAAATTGGAAAATATAATGCAAATAACAGAAAAATAAGCATATATAAACTTCATGCTAAGAAGTCTTTAAAAATATGAATTAAATAAAATCTAAAGAATATGCAACAACTAATTTAGATTAAAAACTTAGAATGAAATAATGTGATTACAAAACTAATTAATAATTGGAGACAACAAAGTCTAGAATAGATAGAGATAAAAGTCAAATTACAGGCATAGGTAAAAGCATTAATGTAATCACAATGAATATAGAAGAAAAAAACAAATATTAAAATACAGAAGGTCGTTGACAGACATATACATATATATGTAATTTATGTATATATAAACACTAGCATATATGAACATATGTGTGTATGTGAGTGTGAAGAGAGACAGAGACATGATGATAAAAAATAGAAAACCCAGCACTTTGAACAGAAAATAAACTTAGGGGTATAACAGAGTGGTATTTCCCAAAAATAGAGAAGGAATGAAACATGCCAAATATGAATATTTAAAGAATAACTTGTGTTCAAACATAAAAGAAAAAATGTATTTTTTTAAAAAAATAAATATTTAAAAAACCAGTTAATACAGAGCTATATCCTGGTTGTTATTCCAATTTGGGAATGAAGAAAATTATTTAGGGATATAGACAGAAAGAAAAAAGATCTACAAGAAGTGAAAAATAGGATTGGCTTCATACTTAGGCACAACAATTCTCAATGCCAAAGAAAATTGAACAATACCTCCAAGTTTTGAGAACACAATTTGATCCATGAGTGTGATGCTTAGTCAAATGGTCATTCTGGGTATAAATCAACAGACAGACATTCTAAAGATGTAATAACTCAGAGAAATACCACTCATGGGTCCCTACTGAAAAACCACTTGGCAATGAAGTCAGTTAAATAAATGAATCAAAATATATAACTTGGGAAAGAAAAGTAAGATCCCTTTAAATATAGAACTTAAATAAAACAACAGATGTTGTATTTGCAGAACAAAATCTAGATGGGTACATTTTAACAAATCATTATATATCTGGGGTGGGGAAGGAGCAATGAGAGAAAGTATCCAAAAACTGGAGATCAATCTAGTGAGCAAGAGGTTAGTTAACAAAAAGGATACGTGCAATGAATAGAAAAACAGAATGTTCTCAAACTCTGTATGTTCTTAACTTGTTTTTACTTGAGACAAATATTCTAGATAGTAACATATTTTATTATTTAAACACTAGATTTTTGTTTTACATCTTTTTATCTATTAAATGCAAATGAAACCAATGTGATATTTTATTAAAATCCATATAGAGCATGTACCTATTTTTATATTATTAATTTGACCTTCATGTCTGCCTGTCATGAATCTTACTTTGATGTGTAAGTTTGTGGAGATCAACATCTGAAACATTGCTTACTAAATGTTTCGAGTGGTTAGTATGTATGGTAATACTGTTATTTACTTTTTAAAACTTTTCTGTATTGTTTAATTTTTAATAGTAAACATTTGTCATTTCATAAAAACAGTGTCCTTGGAAGACAAACAAAAAGGTTTGGTCACAAAGAAAGAATAATATAAAACTCCTTGCAATATTAATGTGAAATATTAAACACACACACATACACATACACATCAGAATTTTACTATAATAGAAAAAAACATGCCATCTTATCAGATGAGAATGTTAATTTTTCCTAAATTGTAATTTAAATATGATCTCGATTTAATCTGCTTGACAGTTGGGACACAATCCTTCCTCTGGAAGAGCAAATAGGTGAGAGAAGCCAATAAGTACTTGAAAAAGGAGACTGGGGGCCAGAACACTAGAGGATCACTTGAGGTCAGGAGTTCGAGATCAGCCTGACCAACATGGTGAAACCCTATCTCTACTAAAAATGCAAAAATTAGCGGGGCATGATGGCGGGTGCCTGTAACCTCAGTCTGCTCAGGAGGCTGAGGGAGGAGAATAGATTGAACCCAGGAGGTGGAGGTTGCAGTGAGCCAAGATCGCGCCACAGCACTCCAGCCTAGGCAACAGAGCATGACTCCATCTCAAAAAAAGAAAAAAGGAAAGAAAAAGAAGACTGTGGAGTGAGAGAAAACACTTGGAATTACTTTTACCAAGAAAACACACACACAAACAAGAACTATTATAAAGAAACAATATTTAGCAGGGTATCATTAGACAGATTTGTGGACAGTATTTGTACTTAGAATATTTTTAATTGCAATTTTTCTAACCATTAAGAAACATTTATTTAGTCCTCAGATATGTGAGGCTTCTGGAAAAATATAACCAAGTTATTTAAAAACATAGAGGCAAGATATACTCAACGTAAAGAATTAAAAATGTTTAAATGAAGTCATCAAAGAACTAAAGAAATTTGTTTGACTTGGGTATGATTTCACTGTGGGAAAAAACATTTGCAAACAATAGTAGCAATCATAAAGAAAAATGTAACATTTTTGTTTTCCGTGAAATACCAGAGGATTTTGTGCCAGGATGGCTTTGAATTTCTCCCTCAGCTTTAAACATAAGAATCACAAATAATATTGTTAGAACATTTAAAAATAAATATCCTTATTCAAAGAGTGAGGCTAATATTTAAAGAACAGAACAGAAACGTGTGTTACACGGAAGCCCAAGCCAAGAGCATCTAGGACTCTAGGATCATTAACAGAAGCGACTGTAAGTGTGGTCCTATGTAGCAGGAACAGCAGAGGCAGGTTTACTAATTGCAACCTGGGCTGAGGTGCGTCTGTGGAGCCTGTGAAAGAAAGCAAAAAGTCACCCTGAATGTTGCTGTGGAGGAAGAAACAAAAAAAATCACCTTGGACAATACCTGTGACAAGCCATCCTCTGATTCTGCCTTCAGAATTCCGAGGTCCAAGGGCAGATAAGCAAAACCACTACTGGAGTGGAAAAAAATTGGTAGAGAGAAATAAAGAGAGAAATAGTCACCTCGAATGAGCTCACAAATATGTTAAAGCACTAAACCAAAAACTTTATTAATAAGGAAATCCGTCAAATTTAACAACCAAAATATAAGGCCATTTTGGATGAAATGTAAACAATAGAAAAATCTTAAAATAATTCTTAAAAATATATTTGAGATCAATATTCATTAGAAAGTTAAGGAAAATAGAAAACATACAAATAGCTAAGAAATATATGAAAAAATTCTCAACCTGACTAATCCTCAGGAGAATGCAAATCAAAACCATAATGAGGTATCATATCACCCCAGTTAAGATGGCTATTATCCAAAAGACAAAAAATAACAAATGCTGATGAGGATGCGGACAAAAGGACTCTTATACACTATTGGTGGGAATGTAAACTAGTACAACCACAATGGAGAACAGTATGGAAATTCCTCAAAAACTACAAAGAGAAGTACCATATGATCCTGCAATCCAACTATTGGGCATCAATTCAGAGGAAAGAAAATGAGTATATCAAAGAGACATCTGTTCTCCCATGTTTACTGCAGTACTGTTACAATAGCCAAGACATGGAAATTCATCTACATGTCCATCAACAGAGGAATAAAGAAAATGTGCTATATATGAACAATGGAATAATCTTCAGCCGTAAACAAGAATAAAACCTAGTCATCTGCAGCAACATGGATGGAGCTAGAGGACATTATGCTAAGTGAAATAAGCCAGGCACAGAAAGTGGACACCTCATGTTCTCCCTCATATGTGGAAGCTAAAAAAAAAAAAAATGTTGATCTCATAAAGTGAAGTAAAAAGTAGAACAGAGAATATTAGAGGCTGGGAAAAGTAGGGGGAAGTGGGGATAGGGAGAAATTCGTTAAAGGATACAAAATTACAGCTAGGTATGAGAAATAAGTTCTACTATTCTACAGCACTGTAGGATGACTATAATTAACAATAATATATTATTTAGTTTCAAATGGCTAGGAGGATATTGAATATTCCCAACACAATGAAATGATAAATGTTTGAGGTGATGGATATACTAATTACCTGATCTGATCACTGTATATTATATGTATCACAACGTCGCTATGTAGCTCATACAATTATTATGTATCCATTTAACTTTTTTTGAGCCAGGGTCTCACACTGTCACCCAAACTGAAGTAGAGTGGCATGATCATAGCTCACTGCAGCCTCAACCCATTGGATTCAAGCTATTCTCCCACCTCGTCCTCCCAAGTAGCTAGGACTACAGGCCTGCACCACCACACCCAGCAAATTTTTTATTTTTTTTTTCATAGAAACAGGGGCTTGCTACATTGCCCAGGCTTGTCTCAAACTCCTGGTCTCAAGTAATCCTCCTGCCTCAGCTTCCCAAAGCACAGGGATTGCAGGCATGACCCACCACATTTGGCTTTAAAATTTTTTTAATAAAAAATTACAGCACTATAAAAGTTAAAATAAATTTTTAAAAGAATAATTAAAAAGCCCTTTGTACTTGAATTTCAATGAATTCCTTTAGTATGAATTTTTGTCCTCAGAAGTAACAAGTGTCTTGCTGTCTGAATTGCGGAACCATTCTTTCGCTTCAAGTCAGAACCACTGTCCTTACAGCTACTTACATTGTAAACTGGTAATCTCAGATGTTCCAAAAGAAACACTGTAAATTAACTTTCTGGTTCTGGGCTCTCAGCAACATGCTCCACTTTCCTGAACTAAATATTTCATCCTATTTAGCATATTCTAGCTTTTTTCCATTCTTGTTAAGGAACTTCTATTACAAGAAGCCAATTTACAGTTCTGACTCCTCAACTTGACTATCAGGGACTCCCACTCTTGCATTTATGATTTTCACCATCCCACTATGTCCGCCCATCATATAATATTTTCATGATATTCTTTCTCTCAAGCATTAGCGAACCCAATAGCTGCTCTGCACCTTAGTTACAGCACTATTTCTTTAGTGTCATCCAAAATGGATATGTGCCTTCATCTAAAATAACTTTGGGGAAGGAAATTCTTATCTCCTTCAAGTGTACAGTCTCTTGGTTGTCCTCCAGACAAATTAATAGAACTAGGTCAGGATATGCATGCTGCCCTTCTTGATACCAAATGACTTGTATAAACAGCACACACCCTCTGGCTATTTTCTAGCAGCAGTCCTTAGGGTTAAGCCACATTAAAAATTCAGATACTTCCATGTTAACATAAATTGAAAAAAAAACAATACATGATGAGAGAAGTAATAGGAAAGCCTCTTTTCCTTTATGTCGATACTATTTCCTGATTTTTTTCCCTTGGAATAGTCTAGCATACAACAGTTCTCTGGAAATAAAATGGTTTAAATCTGAAAATATCCATAGCCAGCTGCCAAGGACATTGAGAAGAATGGAAAGGTCTCACTCCATCAATAATCCTAAACATACATACTCCAGCCTGAAATACCAGTGAAATTCTTTGGAGCTCACAGAGGGAGGTATTCATATTATAAGGCTTTCTTTCCTAATAGAGTCCCCATGAATGTAGAATTGAGATTTCACCTCTGTTCATCAGATCACAATAACTTACTAGCTTTCTAATAACATGTGATTTTCACTTTCTCCAAAAATAATCAGTTTACAATGTTAGCAATTTTCATAGTTCATTAGGTGCAGAATGATTCTATATCTTTGTTTGCCCAGGACAGTACCAGTTTCAGATTCTTGTTTCTGTGTAATCATTAATGGCACTTCCTTCTACCCTCACAAGGTTGCATGATAAATTTTATGGCCACCGAATTACTAGGCTTTGATGACTAGAACTAAGTGTTCCAAAATAACTTGCATGAATTGTACTCCATGAACCATATATTTAAAACTACAATATTTACCTATCTGAAAGCAGACAATGTGTTTGTCTATTCAAAGAGCACTTTTTCAAAGAGAAAAAAAAAATACTCTCTGCAAAGGCTCTGGGTGTGACTATTTAGAATCCATGATTAGATTTCATTGAAAATGTCACATTAGTTATTACCATTGCACTGTGCAAATTGCATTCATCTCCCTGGTGGTCACGAGACAAGATGAACAATAGTTTATCATCCACTTCACAAATAGATGTGGTTCCCAGATAACAATTTTCTAGGGAATCTTCTCAGGTACTTGGTGTGGAAAGGACTGACCCATGTCAAACCTTGTCACCTCTCTTGTGTTTGAATACAAAATGTGGCAAAACTAAATCTTGGCTTTTCTGGGGACAAATAAATATGACATGGGTGGATTAATGGAAAGACATTTAACTTTCAGTTTGCAAGATGAAAATATATCTGTAAAAAATCCTACCACAACAGTATTCAAACCATATGTTAATGGCTCAAAACATCTGTAGTACTGTAACTTGTCCTGAAAACCCTGCTGGTTTTAAGCACTGACGGGAAACAGTATGCAAGCTGAAGAGAAAACCGCTTTTTGATAAATATCACCTCCTCCTTTAACCAGTTCACCCCCTCCCCCTCTCAGGATACCCATATAGTTCGCAAAGTGTTGTTACATAGGAAATTCTAACTCTTCTCAGAGTTTTCCAATCTATAAAGCAGCTAATTTGTACAGGCTACATTCTGAAGCTAAGAAAACATTTTCACACAATAAAGAAGAGTAAAGTCTGGAATGATCTCGAGTTGAAAGATCTGGCCGGGTGCGGTTGCTCATGCCTGTAATCCCAGCACTTTTTGGGAGGCCGAGGTGGGCGGATCAGGAGGTCAGGAGATCGAGACCATCCTGGCTAACACGGTGAAACCCCGTCTCTACTGAAAATACAAAGAGTTAGCTGGGCGTGGTGGCGGGAGCCTGTAGTCCCAGCTACTCGGGAGGCGGAGGCAGGAGAATGGCGTGAACCCGGGAGGCGGAGTTTGCAGTGAGCCGAGATCGCGCCACTGCACTCCAGCCTGGGCGACAGAGTGAGACTCCGTCTCAGACAAAAAAAAAAAAAAGAGTTGAAAGGTCTGATAGTCTTTCCTTACATTAGCTTGTGATTTAGTCATCACTTCACAATAAGTTATGTTTTCAAAGCAAGGTCTCCTTTGATGGGAAATGAGTCATACCTAAATAGGTTGGTTTAGGCAGGAAAGTCACACAGGAAAAAATCGAGCGACTTAGAACATAAAGAGTTGTGACAAGTATGAATAATATACACTATAATTTATATAAGAGAAAAATATTGTTTATTTAGGGAACTGAACATGAATTCTTAACCAAATTGTCTATGTATAAACTAGAAAATAATGTGTGGTTTACACATGTATAATCCGGAGATTAGAACAACATAAAAGAAAAAAAAAAGAAAGCAAAACAAGACATACAATGAGACCATAAGAGAGTTGTTTAGATACTTTAAATAATTTCATGGTGCCAATTCTACCCAATTTATTTTCCAGGGATTTTAAGGAATCTGAATAAAAAGCTTATGGAAAGATGACATGCCAGAAGACTAGAAGCATTCATATGTGCTCTGGTCTTTCAATGCCAGCAAAGGATCAGTTTTGTAAATTGCTGAAAAGGGCTTGATTAAAGCTCCTGCCCAAATTCTCCATTGACCTTCACATGTGTACAAGATTAGAAAAACAAAAGTATAATTGTCAAAGATGGCCTGAAGTCCTCTCCTTTACGAGTTCAAAATTGACCTGAAGCCCCACAGAATAAAATGAGGCTACTGAGCGATTTTATGCTTCTATTTATGAGGTGTCTCTCAATTCTACACAGGGTTGAAATTGCATTTTCCTTAACTTCTTGTGATTCAGAGTTGTTTCTGGAGAAAATGGTGTGGAAAAGGAGAAGAGATGCTATAATATGCCAAGCCCAGAACCTTCCCATATTGTATGCGGTTTCAAGTTTGTCTCTCCCCTTGGGTGCATATCCCAGAAAAGAAATAAGAGGCATTTTTCCCACTCCTGCATGGAAAGCCTCCAAGCCCTCCTCCCTGAATGCTAGTTCTCTGAATAAGCAGTCACAGCCTGGCTGTTAGCCAACTGATACACGCTTAATACACTTTCTCCTCCTTCTTACCCAAGGTCAGCTGTATAATATCAGCAATTCCAACTTGGCTCTTTGGGCCAAACTTCTTCCCTTGTCTTTTTAGTAACAGAGGTTTTGAAGTACATGCTGATGGATTCCTGGTAGGCCTCATCCCCAAATCCCAGCTTTTCTATTGTGTAATATTTTTTGGAGTCCTTGGGTCCTTTCTTTCCTGTGGCTGTCTGGTGCTAGAATTTCCAAAGAAGTCTTCAGATCTTCCCCCTTTCTGTGTTACCCAGTTACACTGGTCCCTTCTATTTTTGAAGTTAGCATAACCCAGATAGAGCCTGTAGTTTCTTTTCATCTTCCTCTCTCTCTGTCTTTAGTCTATGAAGAAAGAAAATTTCTTCCAAAAGTGTCCTTCATTCAACAGACGGATACTGATCACTTACGTTCCAGATACTGTGCTTTGACCTTGCAGCTACCCTGAACCTGCCCAAAGTGTGAAATGGCCACCACCAGTGCAGAGGCATAAAGAACTCTGAGGTAAGATATTACCTGGGAAGTCAATGCAGAATTTTCCGGTGATCATTCTTTAGAGTTGAAGCAGCGGGAGAAAGCTTTTGGGCTTAACGATAGTATAAAACTCATGCCATGTCAATATGTAATATTTTCATAAGTTGTAACCGGTAGCAATAGAAAGAGTCAAGAACCAAGAAACTTCATGAGAGGTATGTGAATAATAAGGCTAGAAGTGTTTGCAACTTTCGTGGGTCCTACTCTTAAGGTCTAACATTATTATATTTCTAACTTTTCCTAAATATTAATCATTTGCATGTGTATTCTCAAAACTAAAACTTTGCTGAAACAAGACCTTTCAAAGTTATGAAGCAATCAAAATTAACCATAGAGAAGCTTTGTGCTTTGTTTTAGCCTAAATTTTCAATGTGAAGTAAATATTGTCACTACCATGTTTTATAGTGAGAAACTGAGGATCAGACTGGTTAAAACTAGTGCAGTGCTCAGACTTTTATTGATATTTTACTAGAGATTAATTTTCTTCTTCTCTTCTATAGTGAGACATTTGCCAGTTCATTTCTGTTTTGGTTAAGACACAAAATTACATTTAAACCTCTGAGAGTAGTTTTCAGAAGAGATATAAAATAATACAATAATATAATAACAAAAAGATCTTTCTGTTTTATTTTTGATTCTTTTATTTTTTAAAAAAGAAATTTTCTTACCTCTGAAGTAAATTGACTTTCAGGGAAGCTAAGGGATTCATTTTTTTTTATTTTTTTGAGACACAGTCTCACTCTGTTGCCAAGGCTAGGGTGCAGTGCCACTATCTTGGCTCACTGCAGCCTCCGCCTCCCAGGTTCAAGCAGTCTCCTGCCTCAGTTTCCTAAGTAGCTGAGATTACAGGCACCCACCTGTACATACATACATCCAGCTAATTTTTGTATTTTTACTAAAGACAAGGTTTCACAATGTTGGCCAGGCTGGTTTTAGACTCCTGGGCTCAAGCTATCTGCCCCCCTTGGCCTCCCAAAGTGCTGGGATTACAGGTGTGAGTCACCGCACCCTGCTGGGATTTCTTTTTTGTTTTTTTGTTTTTTGTGTCTTTAAGGTGAAGGTTGCTAGAACTTATCCAAAATTTGCACTCCTATAGCTGGTGAATTCCCTGATATGTAAACTGTATGTGAGGGATTTATAAATACACTGAGGGATTTGTAAGCTTAGCATCGAAATGTTGTCCCTTTTGATCAAATTTAGGCCTGAGAGCATGAGATCGTCATCCTTCCCAGTGAGCTCTGGGAAGGTCTCCAAATTAGCAATGGTGCCTTCAAAATCATGGAACTGCCTCACCTACAGGATATTTAAGAAATAAACTTCAAAGGTGATGCTAACACTCAGAAGGTGAGTAGATTCCAGTTCTATGTAAGACTAATGTAGAAAATTCTTTAGACTGCATCCACTTCTGGGAAACATGGGATGGTGACGCTCAAAGATAGTGTCCCAATAAGAATGTACAGTGAGCTAAATGGTTAGTTAGAAAAACAAAATAAATTTAACAGGATTCTTATCCCTTTCTCCAACTCCAATTTGTATAGTGGTTTATGGTGTTTTCACAAGTAATTTGCCCAAAGTGCAAAGCTAATAAAAATGAAGCTAGAATTTATTTCTACATCACTGTGATTCTAAATACAAAATTTACACCATGCTGTGTCATCTCTCACAATTTAAGTGATAAAAATAGTTTTGATACAAATATTTATATAAAATCATAAATTGCTTTCTATTTGGTTTGATGAAATACGTAATTGGTTCATATTGTCTTTTTATATGTATTTTTTCCCTTTATATTTTTCTTAACAAAATGCATGAATCATATTTGCCTTTTTCAAACATATTGAAAATATAAATCTACCTAGTCTTTTTGGGCCTATAAAGTTGATGAAAAAAAGAATAAAACAAATATTAATTTCATTTACTTTTCTAGCTCTTTATTTACTAATGGGATGTTGCATTACTAGTAAATTGATATGACTGTTTTTTTAATATCAAATGCACTCACATACAGTATGACACTATATGTCGAACCTATCTTATTGAACAAAGAGAATAGGGTGAAGGATTTTCCCAGAAAGAGAGCATGAAATAAAACGGATGGTGTGGGGAGGACTTTTAGTGATCTTCTAGTCCTGTTATCCCAAATATTTGAAACTGCCTCTTTTGGAATTTCCTCCTGACGAAAGAATATTCATCTCACCCTATTGATGTGGCCAATGAAATATGAGAGAAAGTGGAATGTGCCACTTCCCTTCAGAAACTTTGAGAATGATTGGTTAACCCACTATTCCACTAGCCCATATCAAAGATAAAGGATGCTCCATTATTCTGCACTCTGGAGTAAAGAGCTAAACTGACCCATGGTGGACAAATAGCATGGGTAAGAGTTACGTGGTTGTTATTAAGCCACTCAGATTTGGGGTGTCATTTATTACCACAGCCTGATTTAGCTAAGCTGATTATATAGAAAGTAGAACCCAAAAGTGTAATGCTTCCCCAACAAAAAATAAAAAATATTGGCTTTAGGGTGTCAGATAGTGGACAGTGAGAAAACTGTTAATGAAGGTTGGAAATATACTGACCTATGTTTGCAGTAGCAAAACAATTGATGAACCTATCATCTGTTATATCTTAGCAGATAATGTACATTTTGGCTTTGATTGTAGAAGGGGGAAAATAGGATTTTAATAGCAGCATGAGTTGGTTGCATTTGACAAGGTACTACAAAATGAAATGCACACAGAATAAACTTGGGCAGGCTGCAGACATGCTTGGAAGGCAATTGAGAAAGTCCTGAAATTCCAGGATGTGTAAGGCTAGAAGATGCAAATGATATCATTTCCAATAAGTAAAGCGTTTAACTAAGAAGGCCTTTGATAAACTATGGCTGATTATAACTTAGTTTCCCTAAAATTGGAAAACAAATCAAGGTATGTTTACAACTCCCTTTTTTAGAAAGGGACAAAATAAATGTTTTTTTAAAACTCTCTGAATCTAGAAACTAATATTTTTCAGTTGGTTCAAATAACTCCAAAAAGACACTAAAAGTATAACTATTGTGAGAAGACTGATAGACTCAAACCAGCAGAAAATACATCGAGAGAGAGAAAGACTGAGAGACTTGTTTTACTAAAAAATGTGGATTTGGATTATTCAAATAGAGAGTTGATTGTAACCAAATAGATAAAAAACTGACTCGTGATGATGAGCATTTTCTCATGTGTTTTTTGGCTGCATAAATGTCTTCTTTTGAGAAATGTCTGTTCATGTCCTTCGCCCACTTTTTGATGGGTTTCTTTGTTTTTTTCTTGTAAATTTGTTTGAGTTCATTGTAGATTCTGGATATTAGCCCTTTGTCAGATGAGTAGGTTGCGAAAATTTTCTCCCATTTTGTAGGTTGCCTGTTCACTCTGACGGTAGTTTCTTCTGCTGTGCAGAAGCTCTTTAGTTTAATTAGATCCCATTTATCAATTTTGGCTTTTGTTGCCATTGCTTTTCGTGTTTTAGACATGAAGTCCTTGCCCATGCCTATGTCCTGAATGGTAATGCCTAGGTTTTCTTCTAGGGTTTTTATGGTTTTAGGTCTAACGTTTAAGTCTTTAATCTATCTTGAATTGATTTTTGTATAAGGTGTAAGGAAGGGATCCAGTTTCAGCTTTCTACATATGGCTAGCCAGTTTTCCCAGCACCATTTATTAAATAGGGAATCCTTTCCCCATTGCTTGTTTTTCTCAGGTTTGTCAAAGATCAGATAGTTGTAGATATGCGGCGTTATTTCTGAGGGCTCTGTTCTGTTCCATTGATCTATATCTCTGTTTTGGTACCAGTGCCATTAGAGAAATGCAAATCAAAACCACAATGAGATACCATCTCACACCAGTTAGAATGGCAATCATTAAAAAGTCAGGAAACAACAGGTGCTGGAGAGGACGTGGAGAAATAGGAACACTTTTACACTGTTGATGGGACTGTAAACTAGTTCAACCATTGTGGAAGTCAGTGTGGCGATTCCTCAGGGATCTAGAACTGGAAATACCATTTGACCCAGCCATCCCATTACTGGGTATATACCCAAAGGACTATAAATCATGCTGCTATAAAGACACATGCACACGTATGTTTATTGCGGCATTATTCACAATAGCAAAGACTTGGAACCAACCCCAATGTCCAACAATGATAGACTGGATTAAGAAAATGTGGCACATATACACCATGGAATACTATGCAGCCATAAAAAATGATGAGTTCATGTCCTTTGTAGGGACATGGATGAAATTGGAAAACATCATTCTCAGTAAACTATCGCAAGAACAAAAAACCAAACACCGCATATTCTCACTCATAGGTGGGAATTGAACAAAGAGATCACATGGACACAGGAAGGGGAATATCACACTCTGGGGACTGTTGTGGGGTGGGGGTAGGGGGGAGGGATAGCATTGGGAGATATACCTAATGCTAGATGACGAGTTAGTGGGTGCAGTGCACCAGCATGGCACATGTATACATATGTAACTAACCTGCACAATGTGCACATGTACCCTAAAACTTAAAGTATAATAAAAAAATAAATAAATAAAAATAAAAATAATAATCATAATAATATAAAAAAAACAAAAAACAAACAAAAAAAAAACTGACTCAAGCTCTTAAGAGAACTGCCTGGTCAAAAAGAACCATCAGACAAGACTAAAAGATACAGTAACTGATTAACTCACAAAATAATTTTTGCATTTCCAGTCTTCCACTGGCAGAAAGCTGGTTGAGAAATCTGCTCAGCCTCCAAGGAAGACATATTCTGTTAAAAACTAACATCCCTTCAGACGTGACCAGGAAGGAAAATGTAAAGAAAAGGAACTTTCAAAGAATAGACCCAATAGCCATGGGGAACAATTGATTAGGAGAGCTACTCCCCAGGAGCAGAACTCAAGGCTTAGTCAAGAGGGTCTCTGCTCTTCCCCTTGCCTAAAACTATTACCCCCTCAACCAGTAAACTCTAGTTCACAACAACCTTTTGTGGACTACCAGATTGGGTCTGGACTCCTCTGACTTTTCTCACTAGACTATGCACTACTCTATATCTTTTATCTAATTTTCTAATCAGATATTTATTTTTGAGATTATTTTACTAATTCATGTCTTATGAAGTTCTAATTTTTATGAAGGTAGGGATGCTATTTCGGCTCATCATTATACTTCCAGAACTTAGTCCCATGCCTAGCACATAACTGATAAATATTTATTAAATGAATGTGTTTTCTCGAATTTGTTTCCTTAAGCTGAGAGTGTTTTGAAGATGGACTTCTCAGTATACCCCTGTCATGTAGAAATCAGAATTATGAGTAGGCTCAACCTCTCTTTTTTTCTTCATACCCATTGTAATCCAGTTTGAAATTTGGCACTATGATTCTTCCCCTACAGGGTCTTAATTATGACTTTAACTTCTGGTTTGCCTGGGATAAACCTGGTTTTCATCAGGTCTGTAAGCATAATTATTAATTATGTCCTCTTTCACTACTGAAAGTGCCCAGGTTAAATTACTTAGTTTCGCTGTTCTTAGAGCTATACTCCTTGAACCTTTGTACACCCCATCTAAAGTGTCAACGTTCCCTAAGTTTAAGATAAAGAAATGAAATTTGCCTCTGTTACAATCTAGAGTGCCAAACAGAGGCAGAAGTCTAATTGTAGACTTTGTCCCATGAGTTACTGTGGTTATATAACCTGGCCTATTAGAAAATAAAAACAGTTGGACACAATTTCCTCAACTGAACCAAAAAGGAGGCCAATATCAATAATACATTGAAATGAGTGCCAAATTGCTCTCCATTTTTAGGACCCGAAGACTCTCAAAAGGTTCCACAAGACAAAAAGATATATGGGAATTCTCTGCCTTGGAGAGACTCCCACACTGAGTTCAATTGTAATGTCTCTGTATTATAGGTCTTCACAGCTAGAGCAAATGAAAATGCAATCTGAAGGGAGTGAAAAACTTGGAAAATCCCACACTGTTAGTAAATTAGGTCTTTTAAAAAAGGAACATCCTAGCAAGCTCCAATAAATCAATGTGACTCTAAGAAACAACACTGAAAGGTAAGTGCACTTTCAGGGTTACATCTTTGTTCTCTTTCTTTCTTAGCTATTTGATTCATGTGGTAAAGTAAATTTCTCTTGATTTTTTTTCTTTCATAATCTACTAGTTACTGAGCCTGTCGGACTTAACTCACCAGAGTTTTAATTACAAAGCAGTACAGTTGCCGCAGAGAATGGTAACACAGTGTTGCTGAACCAACTGGGCCTGAGATGTGTGGCTGGAATCTTATATTTTCTTCACTTTCTAAAGATGAGAGACTTCCCAGATGCCCTAACAGCAGGGCTTCTTTTTGATAAGAGGTAATGAAACCTCACAGACAAATGCAATAATCTGAGTTTTAATAGACCCAAACCAGTCGACAGTAAAAAAAAAAATCAGCACAATAGACAAAAAACTGAGTCACTCTGATGAGATTTTCAAATATTTCTCTTCCTTCTCATCATCTCTTCAAAGAGAGTAACCGATTGCCCTATTCTTTTCTTTTTGTCCTAATGAAAAAAATAGCTTAAAATTAGAAATAATGTACTTACTAAGCCATGTGAAGATAATAGGCCACAGAAATTAAAAATGCTCATACCTATTTAGAGTGATGAACCTTCCCAATCTGCCCGTGATGTTACCAGTTTTCACAATAAAATCCTGTGTCCTGAGAAACCCTCCTCAGCCCTGAGCAAGATGAAACAGTTGGTCACCCTACTACTTACTTTCAAGGAGATAGATGGTCGATTCAATTTTATAAATTCAATATTATTAAACCTCTCTACATTCTAATGCATACTATATATATATATATATATATATATATATATATGTATATATCATATAGACCTACATACCAAATGTATTTAAATGCTGTTTAACTTTCTGTACGTTTTGTTTCCCTCCTATTTTTAGTCTTTTTTTGTCTTTCTAATAAAAGATAATTTTTTGAAGATCGTTAGATGTATTTGTCAATGCAAGAGTAGTGGATTAATATTACAGACCAGTATGTTGTGTAGGTCTTTATACACGCTTTCCACCTTCAGGGATAATGACCCCAAATAGGCGATGAAAAAAAAAAAGGACATGAGATGAGAGTCAGAGCTCCTTTTCCTTGGTGACTCGAGATTATATGAAGATAAAAGGAAAAGGTTGTGATGCATTTTCTGCAGTTTGTGTAAGGATGGGCTTTATAAATCTAGGAAAAATTCCTGCAGGAATCACTTTTTAGTACCGGTGCTGCCATCAACTTTCAACTGTCTAACAGAAGCTAGAATATAAAGGTGGGAATTTTAATAAAAAAAAGTATTTTTGTTAATACCTATATAATTAGAAATGATGACTGTTAAGGAAAGTTTTTTCTGTTTTCTTAGATTTAATAAAACACAACTAAATTTGGAAATACACAGGCAATAGAGACAAATCTAAAAATTCTTAGCAAAACTATGATTTTCATCTCATTATAATAACATATGAAAGCAGAAATGGCAAATCAAATTTTATAGCAAAAACACTCAATACAGAGAGCTATTAATTCCTGGCACAAAACTCAACTGCAGAAGGTGGATGAAGTGCATATGATGCATACTCATTATTTTTAACAATGCTTGGAGGGGCTCTTTGACTCGGAATTTTATGAGCAACATAAGTGATCTGATCTGTTACTTAAAACACTCAATGAAATTAGAAATGTATATATTATGATACAACTGATTTTAGCATAAATATACCTAACAAAATTTGACTGTTAAATATCCAAGCCCAAACATCCCTATATATTTCCCACTCACTCGCTAAACCTCGAGTAAGCCACTATTGTTAGAAATGTTCTTCCAATTCTTGCTCCAGGACTATTCTTCCACCTCCTCCAGGTTCTTCTGTCTTCTTGCTGTGTCTCAGCCTGCTTTCATGTCTGCTGGTTTGTGCTTTTCTGTTTCTATTTCTGAGGCACATTGCCTTGCTGTGTATATCCTTTCAGTGTCTTGTATCCTGTGATTCTGAACAAAGGGAGCTGTGATTTATAATATTTTGGGAAGCAACTAAATTCTTAATTGGTATCCAAATTGAAAACCAATTTTTCCTTTTGGCCAGAATCATGAAAACTATTGTAAGTTCTGTGGAACTTGTATGATAACATTACATAGATTTTTTTGGCCACGAAAAAATCTGAATGGGTCTCTTTTTAATGATTTCCCACCTGGCATTATGTGTGACAAATATATAGTTCAAGCCTCTAAGTGCATGTTTAAAACCTACAATGTATACATATTCATGTCCTGAGTTTTCCCTTTGTACTAGCTTTTTTGGTATATAGTTAAATGGTTATTCAAAATGTTAGTTAAACTTTATAAATTTTAACTGGTTTCTCTAAAAGTAGCCTTGCTATTTTTCCTTAATAAAAAAGATGAACATTCTACACAATAAAAGTCTTATGTTTTATTATTCTTACAGCATGTGCAGCATTTGTATTTCTTTTTTATCTTCACTTGGTGTCATCAAAATATAATGCCCTGCCAGACACATATCCTCTCATAATCAATATTAAATAATTCTATGGCTATTTTAGAATTTGAATTTTTAAATTTTATTTTAATTAAACCATTTTAAATAAAGATTATATCTAGCAATCTTTCATTCTATGTTTTGCTAGTTTCTCACAGTAAATATTTGTACTGTGTTAGAATATTTTGAGTTGAGTTTTAAACTATATTTTGGTAAGAAGATTAACTTCTTGATAGTAATTTATGCTGGAAAATGGAATATGTTTGAAAGAAAGTTTCAATGGTGAAATTCAGCATAAGGCATAGAAGTTTAAAAATAACTGTAATAGCCTATAAGCTCAATATTCATTTAGAAAAGACATGAAATAAATCAAACTAGCAAAAGTAAAAATAAGCTATCCACCTAACTCCAACATATCATTGTCAAAGTGTATCAAGGCATGGGAATTGATTCAGCATCTTTGTTTTTGTTTTGTTTTGTTTTGTTTTGTTTTCTGTGTAGTTGGGGAGAGATTTTACTAAATCTGGGAAATCTTCCTTTACAACAAACAAGCAAACAAACAAACTTGTATTGCAAATGTGTTACTCATCAAACAGAAACACAAACCTTGTTCTGTATCAACAAAATATTGACCCATATGTCTTACCCCCACACAGAACATGTGTAGGGTTTGTATCCCTCAGGAAACACTTGTCAGTGGCTCAACATGGAAAAAACCAAAAGGTAAAAAGAGAGTAATTAAATGTTCCAGGATATATTACCGTATTAAAGTCTTACGAATTATTTGGTTTCTGCCTGAAGATTTCTAGACTCCTTTAAAAAATAGTCAATAGGACATAGAGCTGTTCTGCAAATTGATGTAGCTCAATTTGCCAACTAAAGGAGAGTTACAGGAGCGTATATGACATCAATATATAGTTGTAGCTATGCAGAAAATGACCTGCAGGACACTAATCTTAACCACTAAGACATTAGAAGGCCTTTTAAACCTGGCCAATTAAAATGTGCTTCTCACACCAGCAGCCTCAGCCCCACCTGAGAGCTTCTAAAAAAAAAAAATCCCAGCCCCATCCAGACCTGCTGAATCAGAATTACCTGCACGTGTTAACAAGTTTCCCAGGTGACTCGAAGGTGCAGAAAAGTTTGACAAACATGTTTCAAAACATTGCTTTCCTTTATGTCTGTAAGGCAAAATCCTACATCTACTTTCTCTTTTGTTGAAAAGTATGATGAAATTTGTGAAGATAATGCTTAAATTCTTCAAATTGTGGTCGGGGGTAACCATCCTCTCAAATGAGTCATTCTGAAGTTGAAACACAAACATTGCACTTAGAAGATAAAGGTTTTTGCCTTTAGAAGTCCTGTCAGTTGTTGCCTCCTAAAAACCATGGACATCTGTGAAAATAATTCTATTTCTATGGCTTTACCTGCAGTCTTCTAATGTTTCAAAATGTATCAACACTATTCCGTGTGGCCATGCAGTTCTTTGTCTTAATTTTTGTCATATTTGTTGCTTTTTGCTCTACTGCCATATATGTCCTAAGCAACCTGTAATCCTAAGCAACCCAGAGTGCAATTCCAAAAACATCATTCATGACAAATAACTGCTTCGGTTCGATTTGAGAAAAATACCATAAATGTGCTCTTTTATTTCCCAAAAGAGCCACAAGATGGAAAATACCCGTGAAAGTCACCTTCTTCAGGAATCATTTATTCATAGATTTAGGAAGCTTTTTGGCAGAGATAGCTAGTTAAACTATGAATACACCAGGCCCTTCTCTGAAGTGAGTAAGTGGAAAACAAGAAAAGGCAAACACATCTTCTCCTACCCTAGCATCATACCTGCCTGCTTTCTCTTTCTTTCTCTCTCTCTTTTTTTTTTTTTTTTTTTTTTTTTGAGACAGAGTCTTGCTCTGTCGCCCAGGCTGGAGTGCAGTGGCATGATCTCGGCTCACTGCAACCTCTGCCTCCCAGGTTCAAGTGATTCTCCTGCCTCCTGAGTAGCTGGGATTACAGGCACCTGCCACCATGCCCGGCTAATGTTTTGTATTTTTATTAGAGACGGGGTTTCACCATGCTAGCCAGGATGGTCTCGATCTCCTGACCTCATGATCTGCCCGCCTCTGCCTCCCAAAGTGCTGGGATTACAGGCGTGAGCCACCGCGCCCGGCCCATACCTGCCTGCTTCTCAAGTCCTCTGACAGCACTTGAATGTGTGACTGCAGGACAAAATATGACAAAACTGGGTATTAAATCTTAGGAAGTGTAACTTAAAATGAACTCCCGCCACATATCTTTTTAATTCTTTTCTAAATTAAGTGAATCTATTTTTAATATTCTATCTCTTGAGTGATATGAAACAACAAAATGGGGAAGTTCTGAGAACTTATATTTCATCATTAGTCTGTGATATTCACCACAATTTTGCTTTATGAATAGACTTTTGTTAATCTTTTTCATTTTTTTTAAAGGTCCCTATAATTACTACTTAGGGGAGGATTCTTCTAATTTTAACCATGTTTTCTAAACTGAAAATTGAACATACAAAAAAGTGATGGTGGTCTTTTTCTAGCTGTCTTTAATGGTGAGGGGAGAGCCAGGAAAGCTAGTGGTTCTGAGGATTGACACCATTGCAAAGGATCCATGTCATGGTTAATCTAGGTGGCCTTGTGAGAGTGTGGTCACGTACTACATTTTCTCATTACTTGGATAGGTTGAGATATAGCAGGCCCGGATCCCTTTTCTAATTCTCTCAGGCAGCTAGACTGCTGGAAGCTTTACAATGTAGCCTCATGATCCTCATGCTTCTAGCAATAGAAAACGGCTCTTAGAACATGTTCAGAAAATCAAAAACTGATAATAATTGCATCTGGCTAGGGCAAATCTCTTCCAATGTTAAAATAAGCAGAAAATATAAAATAAAAGTATCCATGTAATTGTAACAATTTAATATCAAAATTTAAGTTGCAAATTTAAAAATATATATTTACATAATTGATTTCAAACAACTAGAATTTTATTAATATTCACTGTTTATTAGTCTTTAGACATTTCATCTAACCCCTTTAAATTGCAAATATGTTCACATTTCAAGTGATGTAAGTCAATGTCAAAGACTGCTAAAGAAAATGTTCTAGAATTAAAGCAGTGACCTCTCTCTCCCCCACTCCAGATGTGACTACTCCAGCTGAGAGCATCATGCATGAACTTTCATCCCTTACAATGTTAAAGGGGCTATATGCATGTAATATCCATGGTGAAAGCTTTCTTGTGTTCTTAATAAAAGAATTCAACTTTGCAGGAAAGTGAAAGGAAAAGTTGCTTTTTAAAAAAATAAAACATCACTGTATAGGTAAAACCTGTAGGGATTCAACAGTACTTGAAAGACGACTTTTAAGTATTCTTGATCTAAATGATCTAAGGGGATTGTGAGAATTAATGAATAGTGGGTTGCAGACTAGGTCAAAACAGAACTTCTCTACTCTATTACCCCCAAAAGTTTTTATTGTAGAAGCTCATTTTTAAACACTATTTGGAGTTTATTCCATTGGATATTTGCATTTCAAATAATCATTTAAATGCTAACTAATTTATGGAACTCTAATAAAATTACAGAAATAAAGTGATTCGCTTTTCAAAATATGTCCAAATTCCATCTTTTAGAAAACTTTATTTGAAATGTAAATGATATCATTGCAACACGTATTAATTGAATTTCTGTTTTGTATAAAGCACAATGTTATGCACTGGAGGCAGGATGACAAAGCTTAAGGCTTAGTCACTGCTCTTTACATGAACGTCACCTAGTCAGGGAGAAATAAGAGCATAAATTATTTTAATTAAAATTACAAACATTTGGCCAGGCATGGTGTCTCATGCCTGTAACCCCAGCACTTTGGGCGGGCGAGGCAGGCAGATCACTTGAGGCCAGGAGCTCAAGACCAGCCTGGCCAGCATAGTGAAACCCCATCTTTACTAAAAATACAAAAATTAGCCTGGTGTGGTGGCTCGCACCTGTAATCCCAGCCACTTGGAGGCTGAGGCGGGAGAATCACTTGAACTTGGGAGGTGGAGGTCGTAGTGAGCCAAGACTGCGCCACTGTACTACAGCCTAGGTGACACAGTGAGACTCAGTCTCAAAAAAAAAATTACAAATATTAAATAATTATAAATCTACACTACTAAATATATCTCAATTGGTGATTAATTGTGAAATGAAAGGAACTAGTAGTATCATGAGTTCACATAATTTTGACAAATGCGGAATTATGCACTACATAAAAAGGGATACAATATTTTGGATGAGAAAAGCAAGCCGGTCTTCATTCTGCTCATGTAGGACTTCTACACCAGGAATCAGCAAAGTTTCTTTGTCAAAGGCCAAACAGTAAATATTTTTGGCTTTGTGAGTAATTCGGCTTCTGTCAGAACAGGTCGATTTTGTCATTGGAGTGCAATAGTGGGCACAGACAATATGTAAATGAATGATTGTGACTGTGTTCTAATAAAACTTTGTTTACAAAAATAGTTAGTGGTGCTGGATTTGACCCTCAGATCATATATGCCCAAACTCTGCTCTACAAATGCTTAAATTACAACTAGAAAAGCAAATTTATACATGACAGTATCTGCTGGTTATGGTATTTGTATATGTGATTAAATAATCAGCTTAAAAGCTGATTCTAAAGACAGGAGATCTGCTATGTCCACATTTTGTGCTGAGTCCCACATGGCAATTACTTAGTATATCTTGAATGGTGGCCATTTAATGGTTTAATATGGGGGAGGATAAAACACTAGAGGATATGTTTCATAGGACAATTTTATTATAGCCTCAGGGGATAGAACAGATTAGTTGCAGAGTTTTCCCCACTTCCATTTTCACTATTTTTAGGATATATTCAAGATGAATTAATGCAATCATTTTTTGCTTTAGAGTCCATGTATTGAAGTTTAATAAGTTACAACTACCAGTCAGAATAAACTATTTGTTTCAAATGACAAAAACATTATTTTCACATTTTCTTAAAGGAGAAATATTACACATGCCAAAAAAAAAAAAACACATACAAAAAAAATCAAGCTAAAGGTATTATAACCCATTGCAAATACCAACAGGTACCTAAATTAGAAGATATATTTGGCAACTCCAATTTAATTCAGAGTTTACCACATTGACTACATTTTTTCATTCCCTGGGAAATTGTAAGAATAAAATATTGTAGCATTTATTCAAAGATGAATGATCATGAAGGGTGAAAGAAAAACTGTATGAAATACTTCCAATAAAGAACTCAATATCTATGCTGTAAGTACTGTAATAAAATTGTGCTTTGCATTGCAAATGATATCTTCTGTGTTTCTTATCAGCTAGTTTTCAAATGTTCAAAAGGCAACATTCTACTTTCAGTCTATAACATCTGATTAGCTAAAAAGTAATTTTTAAGTTGACAACTGTAAATGTTTAGTACACATAAATTTTACAAATAAATAGTAAAAGCTTGTGATTTACTAAGTATAATTTATAAATTGATGAGATATTAGTCTGCTTAGATTTACTGATTTTGAAGCTTTATAATTTATATGCAGCAGCAAATACACAAAAGAATAAAGCAATTTGAAGCTTTTCATTGAACGATCTGAGAGCTTTTAAAACAAACTTAAGCAAGAAATTGTAAAAACATTTTTACCTATATAAAAGATGTTGTATTTAAAGAAGTTTAACAAAGAGCATAAACAATCTTTAAGAAAATATTTAATGGTTCTTTGCCTCTATAAACGTTCAAGAATGACCTAGCTTTTGTAATTCCATATGAGAGTCTTTCTTCAATATTGGTCTGCTCTGAACATTATACAGTGAGGACTCTGGACTTTGTTTCATTTAGAATTGTATCGTTAAGATTCTTAACATTCAAACTCCCCAAAACCAGAAACTGAGTAGGAGGTCCTATTGACTCATTGGAGGTTAGCATTTTGCATTTTTCAGTCTCCAAGTAGCTTTTCCATTTTAAAAACCAAGTAATGGTATCTTATTTAATTGAGGGCTATGTTGTAAACCAACTTCATATACTTTCATTTACAAAGTATCTCAGCCTGATTGATGTAGGTAAAGAATATATGCAGAAGGCAAATAGAAATAAATAGCACCTTGCTTTAGACTTTTTATGCAGAATTGTCTTTCCAAAAGATGTGTCCAGTCTCTTATTAGAAACAATTTGGCTACATTGTTCTTTTCTAATTGATTGAATTTTTCTTCCAATGTCTGTCAAAGTCTAAGGGAAAATCAGTTTCAGAGAGGACAGTCACATCTTTTTTTCTGATTTTTAGATATTTCTAACAGTGATGATTGTTTCAGATTAGAAATTGACTAGATTATTTGATATTTAAACCTTATTAAAATGTGTTTTATTCTTAATATATCTTCAGTATTGATATTAATCCTGATTTTAAAAGTAGAATTTTAAAAGTTATCACGTTTACATTTTTCTTGTGGATTATTTTTTGGTGGAATATTTAACCCTCAGCTTTTATTTGTTATGAAACCATTCAGCGCAGTTCCAAGATGGCCCAATAGGAACAGCTCCAGTCTACAGCTCCCAGCGTGAGCAACACAGAAGATGGGTGATTTCTGCATTTCCAACTGAGGTACTGGGTTCATCTCACTGGGGCTTGACGGACAGTGGGTGCAGGACAGTGGGTGCAGCCCAACGAGCATGAGCCGAAGCAGGGCGAGGCATCGCCTCACCCAGGAAGTACAAGGGTTCAGGGAATTCCCTTTTCTAGCCAATGGAAGCTGAGACAGATGGCACCTGGAAAATCAGGTCACTCCCACCCTAATACTGCACTTTTCCAATGGTCTTAGCAAACAGCATATCAGGAGATTATATCCCGCGCCTGGCTCGGAGGGTTCCACGCCCACGGAGCCTCACTCATTGCTAGCACAGCAGTCTGAAATCGAACTGCAAGGCAGCAGCAAGGCTAGGGGAGGGGCATCTGCCATTGCTGAGGCTTGAGTATGTAAACAAAGGGGCCGGGAAGCTCGAACAGGGTGGAGCCCACCGCAGCTCAAGGAGACCTGCCTGCCTCTGTAGACTCCACCTCTGGGGGCAGGGCATAGCCGAACAAAAGGTGGCAGAAACCTCTGCAGACTTAAATGTCCCTGTGTGACAGCTTTGAAGAGAGTAGTGGTTCTCCCACCGTGGAGGTTGAGATCTGAGAACGGACAGAATGCCTCCTCAAGTGGGTCCCTGACCTCCAAGTAGCCTAACTAGGAGGCACACCCCAGTAGGGGCAGAAGGACACCTCACACAGCCAGGTACCCTTCTGAGATGAAGCTTCCAGAGGAACAATCAGGCAGTCACATTTGCTGTTCAGCAATATTCGCTGTTCTGCAGCCTCCGCTGCTGATACCCAGGCAAACAGGGCCTGGAGTGGACCTCCAGCAAACTCCAACAGACCTGCAGCTGAGGGTCCTGACTGTTAGAAAGAAAACTAACAAACAGAAAGGACATCCACAACAAAACTCCATCTGTACGTCACCATCATCAAAGACCAAAGGTAGATAAAACCACAAAGATGGGGAAAAAACAGGGCAGAAAAGCTGAAAATTCTAAAAATCAGAGCATCTCTCCCCCTCCAAAGGAGCGCAGCTCCTCACCAGCAATGGAACAAAGCTGGACAGAGAATGACTTTGACGAGTTGAGAGAAGAAGGCTTCAGACGATCAAACTTCTCCGAGCTAAACGAGGAAGTTCAAATCCATCGCAAAGAAGCTAAAAACCTTGAAAAAGGATTAGACGAATGGCTAACTAGAATAACCAGTATAGAGACGTCCTTAAATGACCTGATGGAGCTGAAAACCATGGCACGGGAACTATGCGACAAATGCACAAGCTTCAGCAGCCGATTCAACCAACTGGAAGAAAGGGTATCAGTGATTGAAGATCAAATGAATGAAATGAAGCGAGAGGAGTTTAGAGAAAGAAGAGTATAAAGAAATGAACAAAACCTCCAAGAAATATGGGACTATGTGAAAAGACCAAATCTACATCTGATTGGTGTACCTGAAAGTGACAGGGAGAATGGAACCAAGTTGGAAAACACTCTGCAGGATATTATCCAGGAGAACTTCCCCAACCTAGCAAGGCAGGCCAACATTCAAATTCAGGAAATACAGAGAACGCCACAAAGATACTCCTCAAGAAGAGCAACTCCAAGACACATAATTGTCAGATTCACCAAAGTTGAAATGAGGGAAAAAATGTTAAGGGCAGCCAGAGAGAAAGGTCGGGTTACCCACAAAGGGAAACCAATGAAAGTAACAGCAGATCTCTTGGCAGAAACTCTATAAGCCAGAAGAGAGTGGGGGCCAATATTCAACATTCTTAAAGAAAAGAATTTTCAACCCAGAATTTCATATCCAACCAACCTAAGCTTCCTAAGTGAAGGAGAAATAAAATCCTTTACAGACAAGCAAACACTGAGAGATTCTGACACAACCAGGCCTGCCCTAAAAGAGCTCCTGAAGGAAGCACTAAACGTGGAAAGGAACAACCAGTACCAGCCACTGCAAAAACATGCCAATTTGTAAAGACCATAGATGCTAGGATGAAATTGCATCATCTAACTAGCAAAAGAACCAGCTAACATCATAATGACAGGATCAAATTCATACATAACAATATTAACCTTAAATGTAAATGGGCTAAATGCTCCAATTGAAAGACACAGCCTGGCAAATTGGATAAAGAGTCAAGAACCATCAGTATGCTGTATTCAGGAAACCCATCTCACATACAGAGCCAAACAGGCTCAAAAGAAAGGGACGGAGGAAGATCTACCAAGCAAATGGAAAACAAAAAAAGGCAGGGGTTGCAATCCTAGTCTCTGATAAAACAGACTTTAAACCAACAAAGATCAAAAGACATAAAGAAGACCATTACATAATAGTAAAGGGATCACTTCAACAAGAAGAGCTAACTTTTCCAGATATGTATGCACCCAATACAGGAGCACCCAGATTCATAAAGCAAGTCCTTAGAGACCTACAAAGAGACTTAGACTCTCACACAATAATAATGGGAGGCTTTAACACCCCACTGTCAACATTAGACAGATCAATGAGACAGAAAGTTAACAAGAATATCCAGGAATTGAACCCAGCTCTGCACCAAGCAGACCTAATAGACAGCTATAGAACTCTCCACCCCAAATCAACAGAATATACATTCTTCTCAGCACCACACCACACCTATTCCAAAATTGACCACATAGTTGGAAGTAGAGCACTCCTCAGCAAAGAGGGGAACAGAAAGTATAACAAACTGTCTCTCAGACCACAGTGCAATCAAACTAGAACTCAGGATTAAGAAACTCACTCAGAACTGCTCAACTACATGGAAACTGAACAACCGGCTCCTGAATGACTACTGGGTACATAAGGAAATGTTGGCAGAAATAAAGATGTTCTTTGAAACCAATGAGAACAAAGACACAACATACCAGAATCTCTGGGATACATTTAAAGCAGTGTGTAGGGGGAAATTTAGAGCACTAAATGCCCACAAGAGAAAGCAGGAAAAATCTAAAATTGACACCCTAACATCACAATTAAAAGAACTAGAGAAGCAAGAGCAAACACATTCAAAAGCTAGTAGAAGGCAAGAAACAACTAAGATCAGAGCAGAACTGAAGGAGATAGAGACACAAAAAACCCTTCAAAAAATCCATGAATCCAGGAGGTGGTTTTTTGAAAAGATCAACAAAATTGATAGGATGCTAGCAAGACTAGTAAAGAAGAAAAGAGAGAAGAATCAAATAGATGCAATAAAAATGATAAAGGGGGTATCACCACTGATCCCACAGAAATACAAACTACCATCAGAGAATACTATAAACACCTCTATGCAAATAAACTAGAAAATCTAGAAGAAATGGATAAATTCCTGAACACATACACCCTCCCAAGACTAAACCAGGAAGAAGTTGTATCCCTGAATAGGCCAATAACAGGCTCTGAAATTGAGGCAATAATTAATAGCTTACCAACCAAAAAAAGTCCAGGACCAGATGGATTCACAGCTGAATTCTACCAGAGGTACAAGGAGGAGCTGGTACCATTCCTTCTGAAACTATTCCAATTAATAGAAAAAGAGGGAATCCTCCCTAACTCATTTTATGAGGCCAGCATCATCCTGATACAAAAGCCTCGCAGAGACACAACAAAAAAAGAGAATTTTAGACCAATATACCTGATGAACACTGATGCAAAAATCCTCAATAAAATACTGGCAAACTGAATCCAGCAGCACATCAAAAAGCTTATCCACCATGATCTCCATGATCAAGTGGGCTTCATCCCAGGGATGCAAGGCTGGTTCAAGATACACAAATCAATAAATGTAATCCAGCATATAAACAGAACCAAAGACAAAAAACCACATGATCATCTCAATAGATGCAGAAGAGGCCTCTGACAAAATTCAACAGCACTTCATGCTAAAAACTCTCAATAAATTAGGTATTGATGGGACATATCTCAAAATAATAATAGCTATTTAAGACAAACCCACAGCCAATATCATACAGAATGGGCAAAAACTGGAAGCATTCCCTTTGAAAACTGGCACAAGACAGCGATGACCTCTCTCACCACTCCTATTCAACATAGTGTTGGAACTTCTGGCCAGGGCAAACAGGCAGGACAAAGAAATAAAGGGAATTCAATTAGGAAAAGATGAAGTCAAATTGTCCCTGTTTGCAGATGACATGATTATATATTTAGAAAACCCCATCGTCTCAGCCCAAAATCTCCTTAAGCTGATAAGCAACTTTGACAAAGTCTCAGGATACAAAATCAATGTGCAAAAATCACATTCTTATACACCAATAACAGACAAATGGAGAGCCAAATTATGAGTGAACTCCTATTCACAATTGCTTCAAGGAGAATAAAATACCTAGGAATCCATCTTACAAGGGATGTGAAGGACCTCTTCAAGGAGAAGTACAAATCACTGCTCAACGAAATAAAAGAGGACACAAACAAATGGAGGAACATTCCATGCTCATGGATAGGAAGAATCAATATCATGAAAATGGCCATACTGCCCAAGGTAATTTATAGATTCAATGCCATCCCCATCAAGCTACCAATGACTTTCTTCACAGAATTGGAAAAAACTACTTTAAAGTTCATATGGAACCAAAAAAGAGCCTGCATTGCCAAGTCAATCCTAAGCCAAAAAACAAAGCTGGAGGCATCACCCTACCTGACTTCAAACTATACTACAAGGCTACAGTAACCAAAACAGCATGGAACTGGTACCAAAACAGAGATATAGACCAATGGAACAGAACAGAGCCCTCAGAAATAATACCACACATCTACAACCGTCTGATCTTTGACAAACCTGATGAAAACAAGAAATGGGGAAAGGATTCCCTATTTAATAAATGGTGTTGGGAAAACTGGCTAACCATATGTAGAAAGCTGAAACTGGATCACTTCTTTACACCTTATACAAAAATTAATTCAAGATGAATTAAAGACTTAAATGTTAGACCTAAAACCATAAAAGCCCTAGAAGAAAACCTAGGCAATACCATTCAGGACATAGGCATGGGCAAGGACTTCATGTCTAAAATACCAAAAGCAATGGCAACAAAAGCCAAAATTGACAAATGGGATCTAATTGAACTAAAGAGCTTCTGCACAGCAAAAGAAACTACCATCAGAGTAAACAGGTAACCTACAGAATGAGAGAAAAATTTTGCAATCTACTCATCTGACAAAGGGCTAATATCCAGAATCTACAAAGAACTCAAACAAACTTAAAGAAAAAAACAACCCCTTCAACAAGTGGGCGAAGGATATGAACAGACACTTCTCAAAAGAAGACATTTATGCAGTCCACAGACACATGAAAAAATGCTCATCACTGGTCATCAGAGAAATACAAATCAAAACCACAATGAGATACCATCTCACACCAGTTAGAATGGCGATCATTAAAAAGTCAGGAAACAACAGGTGCTGGAGAGGATGTGGAGAAATAGGAACACTTTTACACTGTTGGTGGGACTGTAAACTAGTTCAACCATTGTGGAAATCAGCGTGGCGATTCCTCAAGGATCTAGAACTAGAAATACCATTTGACCCAGCCATCCCATTACTCGGTATATACCCAAAGGATTATAAATCATACTGCTATAAAGACACATGCACACATATGTTTATTGTGGCACTATTCACAATAACAAAGACTTAGAACCAACCCAAATGTCCATCAGTGATAGACTGGATTAAGAAAATGTGGCACATATACACCATGGAATACTATGCAGCCATAAAAAAGGATGAGTTCATGTCCTTTGTAAGGACATGGATGAAGCTGGAAACCATAATTCTCAGCAAACTATTGCAAGGACAAAAAACCAAACACCACACGTTCTCACTCATAGGTGGGAATTGAACAATGAGAACACTTGGACACAGGAAGGGGAACATCACATGCCGGGGCCTGTTGTGGGGTGGGGGGAAGGGGGAGGGATGGTATTAGGAGATATACCTAATGTAAATGATGAGTTAATGGGTGCAGAACACCAACATGGCACATGTATACATATGTAACAAACCTGCAAGTTGTGCACATGTACCCTAGAACTTAAAGTATAATAATAAAAAAAAAATTTCCAATTTAAAAAAAGAAACCATTCAGTAGTCAAACACAGTGCATATGCCTAGAATGTTTGAGTGTGAAGATTTTGTACTGTGAAGAATTTTAGATTGCACTCTTCAAAATGGATCCCACAATCTCAAAATGTACGATATGTGATGAATGTGTATCTTCCAGACAGAATTTTGTCACTTCTGAATACCCCCAGAACTAATTACATGAGGAATACATAAAGTGAATTATTGCAATTTTATAATTAGTCATATTGAGCAAATGTTTGAAGAATTTGGAGAGTTCGAACTTAAGTCTCTAATAGTCTTCAATTTGTAGATACATTTCCAGAAGCAGATCTGGATCTCTAGCTGACTAGATAGAGAAACTAGTTGGTTAAATATTGACAATACCGTACTCTTTAAGTATTATCAAATCAATATCTGTTTTTTTATTATTTCTTCACATAGTGTAAGTACGTATGCTTTATTTTATGGTTTTTATAACTTAATTTTCTTGACAATGACATCTATGTCAGTCAGAACACATTTTTATTGAGTGTTAATAAAACTAATTACTCCTTAAGAAACCAATTATTCCCTATCATATGGGGCCAGACCATTACCAAATTATCATAAGGGGAAACATAATATAAAGAATAGCAAGAATAGATATTGGACTTATGTAGGCATGGATTTTTGAAATATAACGAAAACCTTGCTTATCTAGATACTGAATATTTAGCTTCAATTTAAATATGCTAAAAGGCTGGACATGGTGGCTCATCCCTTAATCCCAGCACTTTGAGAGGCCGAGGCAGGGGGAATTACTTGAGGACCAAAGATCGAAATCAGCCTGGGCAACATAGTGAGACCCTGTCTGTAAAAATAAATAAATAAATAAATAAATAGCTTAGTGTGGTGGCATGCACCTGTAGTGCTAGCTGTTTGGGAGGCTGAGGTAAGAGGATCATTTGAGCCCAGGAGTTTGAGGTTACAGAGATGTATGTTCACCCCACTGCACTCCAGCCTGGTTGACAGAGCAAGATCCTGTCTCTACAAGAAATAAATAAGTAAGCCATAAATAGCTCCAGAGCTAATTTATTGGATAAAATGATCATAAAAATTCTGACATCATATTATATGCATAATGGGGAAAAACTATTATATATAGAATGATCTACCACTGCATATGTGAGGGTTAATACTGAGTGTCAACTTGATTGGATTGAAGGATGCAAAGTATTGATCCTGGGTGTGCCTGTGAGGGTGTTGCCAAAGGAGATTAACAGTTGAGTCAGTGGCCTGGGAAGGGCAGACACACCCTTAATCTGGGTGGGCACAATCTAGACATCTGCCAGTACAAAAGCAGGCAGGAGAACGTGGAGAGATTAGACTGGCGTAGCCTCCCTGTCTACATCTTTCTCCCATGCTGGACCCTTCCTGCCCCCAAACATCAGACTCCAAGTTCTTCAGTTTTGGAACTTGGACTGGCTCTCCTTGCTCCTTAGATTGTAGACAGCCTATTGTGGAACCTTGTGATCATGTGAGTTAATACTGAATAATATTAAGTATTATACCCAATAATATTAGTCCCCTATTAGTTCGATCCCTCTAGGGAACCCTAACTAATACAACATATATATTATACATGGTATATAGTATATAATATAAAACATATATAAAATGAAACTATTACATAGAATGATTATATGCAAGAATAAAGAAAAGCTATTATATACAGAATAAACATGCATAATATGTTCTATTATATGTAAAATGGGGGTAAGCTATTACAGAATAGTGAGGGGAAACTATTATATATAGAATAATTTTTTATTGAAAATAAAAAAGAAAAAAAACTTCTGCTCTTATCTAATAAGCTTCAGCTAACAGAGTCTTCTTGGAAAGACAGTTGAAGGGTTGTTTTATACTCACTCATTTACTTAAATCTCTATTAGCATTATATGCTACCTTATAAGAATACTCTGGTAGTTAATTTTAGTTCTAGTTAAGAAAGTTAAGTTTTCTACTCCTAGTTTAAAAGCATACTTTTATTTTTTAATATTATACCCCCTGCATCAGTTGATGCAGTTCTTTAAATGAATTATTCAGAATAGACATTTCACAATTACTATATAGATATCTCAGAATGGAAAACAACAATTAAGAAAATCTGTGAAGAAAAAAATGCTTATTATAAAGTCAAAGGAAAGCAGTATCCAAAGTATACAGCCAACATGAGTGTTTTATTTTCAATCATTACTAAATTTGGTGTGTGTACATATATACAGAAAATAATTTATTTTCTAATAGCAAACCACAGTTTTGATTACAACTTGTAATTTGTTATTTGAGAGTTTTTTCCATTATTTTTCACACTGGTAAATTTTTATTGAGATAAATGTAAATATGATTTAACTAATGGGAAAGAGAATCATGAAGATCATAAGAAACCATATATGCCATATCATTGTTTGAATGGTTCACAAGTTTTCATAATTCTTCTTAATCACCCCAGGACAATGAGCATCAATAGCTTCATAATGTAGACTACCTATGCTATGGGGTATGTCTGATGTGTTCCCACAAATCTGATTTCTTTCGAGAGCAAATTACTATAGTTTAAATTTAATTCAAGAAATACAATCTTAAAATATAAAATGTTTAGGTTTTTACAATAAAATTAAAAATCATAAAATCCATTCATAAAGGAGTGATTAGAGGGAGGTTATCCCAATGATAATATAATTGGAAACCACTTTAACAGTCAAGCTGGCCTACTATCCACCTTATGGGAAAGATGTTGTGAAGATGCATGTCATAGAGTCTGAGGGCAACACTCTCCAAGGAGAAACTGGCAGGCATTTGATTCACTCATTTTGGAACTAAAAATGGCATCGGGAAATAACTTACAACATAAATTGTTCTCTTGGTATGGAAAGGCTTTAATTCAAACTGAATTAAAGTTGTAACAATGTAAATGGACAGATAGAAAGCAGTTATTTGGTTATTATACCACTTCCTATTGATGATGACACTGTCTTACTATGTAAATTCAGAGCACAGATGCAGCATTGTTCTAATAGAGAATTTCCAATATGTTTGCCATTTGTCACATGTAGCACATCTGCTATAGTCAGACTATATCAAATTGAAACTCCCCAGTCCATTAGGGAACCGGGTATGTGGAGGTGATTGGTGTATTATCATGAGCAGCAGTTGCATTGTATTTCATGGTTTTCAATCACGAAACACGGAAAATGTTCTCAGAATAACTCCTCTCTCTAACTGATTCCCACACAGTTCAAAACATGAAGAGATTAAAAATCCTGATAGAATGGAGCATAGTTGCTGATCATCCCTGTAATCCCAGCATTCTGGAAGGAAGAGGCAGGCAGATCACTTGAGCTCAGGAGTACCAGACCAGCCTGGGCAACAGCGTGAAACCCTATCTCTACCAAAAATATAAAAAATTAGCCGGGCATGATGGTGCATGCCTGTAGTCCCAGCTACTCAAGAGGCTGAGGTGGGAGGATCATTTGAATTCAGAAGTCAGAAGTTGCAGGGGGCTGCGATTGTACCACTGCACTCCAGCCTGATTGACAGAGTGAGACCCTGAAAAAAATTAAATAAATAAAAATAAAAAAATAAAAAAAAGTCCTGATAGACACCAATGGATAGGGTTATGCTATGACATTGCCATTTTTATAGCTCAAATACTGGGAATTTCATGTAATCCAAATTTAAGATGAATCACACTAAATTTCAAATGTGATTCTCTTTTTAAGAATGAATAACTCAGATATCATAGCTGAGAACAGGCAGCAGGAGGAACACCACAGTTCACATTTTGAGGATGACCAGTCTTTGCTCAGAGGTGCAAAGACTTCCCTGCCGGGGGGCTAACACTACCACAGCCCACCACACTCCTTGGCCAGCAGAGGTGGGCAGCAGAGGAGAAGTTTGTAGAGCAAAATCACATTTTAAGTAAATGCAGTGTTTTTGAGAAGAGAGTATTCATTCCCCTTACATTCCTCTGAAGAAGGAAAAAATGGTACATCTCCTCTATGTATGTGTCAGGTATGGAGTCCAAAAGAAAATGAAATTGCTCATAAAATTAGGGAGTAAATATAGCAAGAGTTATTGATCTTAGGTGCTTGATTGGATATCTCTGGGTTGCCAAACTTGCTAACTGAGGGCCGCTGACAGAGCAAGAGAGCCTTGAGAAGAGATGATAAGAGGTGGAGAGGTGTGGCAAAAAGAGTTTCAGGGCCACTCCCTCAATATTTCAGTTTCCAAGTGACATAGAATAGAGATACTATTTGTGCCCATTCTATGCAAACTTTAGGATCATGGAAAGTGGGTAAGATTGGGGGCTAGTCTTGCTTGGAATTGTAGCAAAAAAAAGAGGCCACCAGGAATGATGCCTCAGCTGAGTTTCAGTCAATAAATGTAGTCATAGGACCATCAGTAGTACATCAAGTGTACATCAAATGTAGTCCTTGTCAAGACGTATGTTTTAGTAAAAACAAAAGGAAACAAAATACTCAAATAGACAATGATTTTGAGTGATGCTAACACAAGGAAAGGGATGTGTCCAAAAACAGGTGAAGTGCTGCTGCATAGACAAGCTGTTGAGGGCACAAGTCAGGTGAGAATCAAATATTACGGTGATGATTTTAAAGCAACAAGACTACGTATTTGAAATGGAACTATACTGTTCTAAAAAACAACCAAAAAGCAAAAAGTTAGGGAGTGAGACTGATTTATTTATTAATAATGAAGACTGCTACCCAGAGTGAGATGGTGTGGCCACATGCAGTTATCGGAAATTATTGGGAAAAACAAAATTGCTCCAAATTAATATCTTAACAATTTGAAGCTCTTTTCTAAAGCACTTGCTATTATTTTGGAGCATAATTACATTCTGATACTACAGGTATATATAGGAACATTCATTATTTATTATTCATTTCATGTGTAGTTCTCTGAATTACCATAGAATTGTTTCTCAGGAGATTTATGCTGGACATATGAAAACATCCATGATGCTTTTACATCAAAATATGTCATTGAGTCAGTCCCTGTGACAACAAACATTAACTGAGTACTTACTGTGAGCTAAAGTTTCCAACAGGAAAAACCATATATTCCCTGAAATTAATAAGCTCAAAGTCTACTAGGAAGGACCAATGATCGTTCAAACAGTGAATTTTAACAATTAAAGTTTTATAATATAACTTTTATTTCTTTACTGATTAAATACATTTTTGTTTTCATCCAATTAGAATGACACAAAAGACTGCATTGTTATTTAAATTGTTTATGCATGCATGCTAATCATAACACATATTTCAGAAGAGAAATGATATTCCATTTAATTATTTTAGAAGACCAATGCTTTGCACACATATAGCAAATTTTGATTTAATATCTCACTGCAAATAGTTTCTAAATGAAATTACAGGAATCATTAGGCACAGAACCCATGATCGACATCTTCATAATTATTTACTCTCAATTCTATTTGGGCTACTTTTCCTGTTTATTTCACTGCAAATAGTTCGTAAAGGATTAATGACAATGCAAAGTTTTTGAGTAACAATTTGTGATATTCATTTATGAGGTGTATGCACTTATTTAATTAGGCCTAATAATTTCCCAGAATATATTATACTATCTACATACAGGATGATTTGTATAAGTATCCCTAAGTTTCCAAAGGCTTTTAAAAGCACATACATTTGGTTAATAATTTTCCTGTTACCTAGTTCAGTTAATTCATTAATATATACCTAGCCAACACAGCCAGAGATTGTAGAGTTTATTTTTGCTGTCCTGTATCCTATAACTTTAACCAGCCAACATATATTCTATCAATACTTTGAAGCCTTTCAAATTCTTCCTTTCCTATTTCCTTCAATTCCTATTTCTTTTGTTATTGTCTATTGCAAAAGCTTCTTCCAACCTCTGGTTTTTACTTGTTAAACATCACCCCTCATAAATTCAAGATGCCAACTCTCTGCATGAAAAGTGCATAAAATAAATTCGATAGTTTTATGTTGCGTATAAGTCTGTACTCTTGATAGTGATATTCTGGGATCTTCCTGGGCATTGATAGTTTCATTCCCAATTTTTTACAATTCTCTTTACCTTGTAATCTCTTTACCTTACTTAGTCCTCAAAGTTGCCATGAATGAGGTTGTATTGGCAAGGATTGGATAGAATATATTGTGGTAACCAGCAACCTATTAATCTCAGTGGCATAAAACTATAAAGATTTATTTCATAATTATCAAAACTTCTCTAAGGATTCTGTTTTATGTTCTCCTTAGTCAGTGACACAGGCAAACGGTACCTCAAGAAAACGTCTGGAAAAAGTGAACATGGAACATTCTATTCTGGCTCTTGCATGCTTCCATTCAGATATGGTACATGTTCTGCTCAATTTTTTTTTTTTTTGGCAAAGCAAGGCATATGCAAAGTCACATGACTCTGCTTAGTCTAGTGTTCCCCACCCTTCTGTCCCAATTTTACCCTTTTTTTGTATAGTAAAATCCTTTTTATCCTACCTGGCTGAGCCTCATTTACATTCCTAATATTGTGTTACTGTGCTACATGAGCATTTGTCTCACTATATTGTGATAATAATATCAATAAGGGTAACAACAGTAATAACACCAAAACCACAGCTTTTTCTATTACCTTCTATGTATCAAGCTGTGCTAGGTACTTTATAAATATTATCTTATTCAAGCCAGAAAACAATCTTGCTATATAGGTAATACATCCTTTTAGTGGAGAAGCAAGCATTGTGTTATGGAGGCTAAGAGACATGACTGTGTCTACACAGCTGGTAAATGGACTGTTTAAGACTTGAATCCTAGTCTCTCTGGCTACAAAGACTTGTTGCTGTTCAATATTCTACAATCTCTAAGTTGCATAATTGCAGTCTAAATTGTTAAATTAAATTTGGCCAGAGGCTGTCTCTTTGGGTCCCTGCTTAACAAACTGCAACTTAGTATACAAACAAACCAAAATCTAATTTAAGAGCTTTTTTTCCCTCCATAACATATAGCCAGGTCTCAAGCAATCACAAACTGCCTAGTTTCAGCCAATCATAAGCTGCAACTATTAATAGACCATGTTCAAATAAGGTAAATGCCTAGCTATAATCAATCAAGCTAGTTCTCTACTTTTCTCTTCTGTCTACAAACACTCACTGCCCACATTGCAGAGAGGAGCTCTTTGAATCTCTTCTGGTACTGAGTGCTGCCCAATTCATGAATCATTCTTTGTGTACATAAACTCTGCTAAATTTATTTTGTCTAGACTGTTTTAACAGAGTTAAGTTCACAGCTATCTTTATATTCCTTCCACATATGAAGCTCTCAGTAAATAATTGGCAAGTTATTTATTATTGTTAGTGTATTATCTAATGACTCCATAGTCCTCTGTTTTTCCTGGAGGGATTGGTAATTTTAGTGCTATGTTTTTCTTCCTCTATGTTTAGACAGTCCTTTAAACAAATTACTTGGTTCACCTATGGAGAAAGACTCTAGGAAGAACAAATTTATATTAACTTCAGAAATCCTGTTAGGTTTTGCTTGCCATTAAACCATTGGAAGAACAAGTAAAGCCACTGAATCTGGATTTCACTTGGACCATTCTGAATATGCAAAGAAGCAATGGTAATTCAAAATGGATGCTGAAACCTCCATGGAGAGCCATTTTAGAGTTGAATGCATGGTATAATTCTGCCTCTATGAGGCATGTTGACTGCAATGTTTGAAATATATCAAGTTTCACTATATTTTAGCAGCCCATTTACATGTTATGAACTCTGACTACATTAATTATAGCTGCCACTTTCCATAAATAAATATAAGTAGCAAATAAAACTAGTATTCAATATTGTTTTGTACTTCTCCAGGCATAGTCTGTCAGTAAATGGGTTAGAGTCTTTGATTGTCATTTTACACAGAGCTCGGTTAGTACCAATATAATTGGTATGAAAGAAATGAAATTACATCATAATTTAAGAAGCAATACAGCTACTATATGCTTGCATCATAATATAACTGTTGGTTTTGTTTGCAGATTACACATGCTCCAGGCATTTTTTAGAGTCATTTCAATTTATTTAGAGAAACTTCTACATGCAACCCATTGTAAAGGTACTCACTAAAACATTTAAAGAAAAATAATTGCTTAATTACAAAATATAACAATGTTTATTCTTACAGCTAATAATCAGGAAAAGCAAAGTTCCTTAAGGTTTTACAATGAAATTACAGATGGACAAACAAAAAATTCTCAATGTCAAATCTAACCCAACTGACCAAAACAGAAAATATTTTTCCCCCTGTGGTGGTCATTGTATAACAGAAATCAATTTTTAAATTATAGTAATTCAAAATATCATGAGAATGCTCTTTGGATCTTTTCTCTTTATGATGTCAGGCTTCATGTAGAAAGTGTCAGACCGAGATTGAATATGAAGACTGAAATAAAATTAAAATAAGTGGAATTAAGTGTTGATAATCAATGACAAAGAATAATTCTGTGGGTTAATATTTAAATAACCAGATTGTCCTTGTTCCTTGAATCTTTATAGTTACTATACCTTTGAAAGCATCATAACAAATTTTGTGGCATAAAAGGAGAGTAAGATTTTTCTGGTAAATTGGTCAATTTTAAATTGTTTAAGATTGTTATTTTCAAAAATTCAGAATCCATAGCCATAGACTTAAAATGCATTAAGCAGAGTTTATTAAATATTCAATAATTTGGAAGAAAGTTAGTGCCTTATTACTTCACATTTAGCTCTGTAGGAGTCATTTATCATGGGCTCAGAGTTAAACATAGACTGTCTTCTAGTGTGATTGCAGAGGCATACCTCCTAGGCTAAACTTAACTACTCAAAAATGTTTGAAATGACTTTACCAGGGGACAAAATCTTTAAGTGCACTAATACTGATAAGGCTTAAAATTTAAATATTCATGGCTGAGAATATATTAGATAAGATTTGTAATAAGATGATGATGTCTCTTAGCTTTTTTCCCAAGAGTAGGTTTCTATAGTTAAAGAGTGCAGCAGTGGATTCAAGAGTGATGCCAGAAGCACCATGGACCCTCTTCAACCCTGTTGTGATATGTTTTACACTAACCCTGGGTGGCGGCTGGTTAATGAAAAGATGAAGCCCTGTGTAACATAACACTACGGAAGCAGAAAGGAATATGGACATTGAAATCTGAAAGCAAACATGCACATAAAAATGTATCTACTTCCTTGGCTTCAATTATCACCTCTATTTTGGTCACTCCCAAATTAGAGTGACCTTCCAGATAATCAGTTATAACTAATCATCTCTTACCACTATTCTACTTCTACTGGACATATGTACCATCATCTCAAACTCAGTAGACTTTAAGGGGCATTTTGGTCCTAAAATTATTATGAAAAACACAATACATTTCCAACCCTTGGAAAACCACCTTACACCCAAGAGAATAAAATCCACCCCTTTCATTTAAATTCAGAATTCTCTCCACTAAGCTGTGAACCTTGACAATACAATTTTGCCCCCACCCATGCCTCAGTCACTCATAAGTATGGATACAAAGTCTTGCATTTCTTTCTTTAAAATTTTATATTTCATTCTCATTCTCCATATTTACTTCCATCATGTTATCCTAGTCTTTATCACCTCACTTCCAAATCAGCTGGCAGCCTCCTGTTTATCCTTATCTTAAGTATCCTGAGGTCATGTGTCATTAAACTTGTAACTTAGGCAAACTGTCTTAAAACATTCTTTTTATCAGATTGGCAACCTGCTCAAGAATGTGTAATGGCATTATATTTTCCATTTTCTCACATAAATGTTATTTATTTATTATTTATCAATATATAGATTACATTCTTACTATGTGCTGTAATGCACTATAAATGTAGTTTATTTGTGTATATATAATTCAATTTATTTGACTGTAAAGATAACTTTTGCTCACCCAGTTATCTATCAAAATCTCCCAATTCTTACAAGTCCAGTTTATGCCTTTCTTCTCCCATGATATTCTAGCCCATTTAGGTTTTCCTTTTGTAGTTCTACTCTATTTGTGGCCAGTACTACCCACTGTAAGCTAGTTTTTTCTCTAATGGCTTCCCAATGCCATAGCTTCCTTTTGTTTTTCCTAAATACAACAGTGATGTCTATATCATTTTTGTGTAACTTTCAGTACATAGTCAATAATGGCTATGTATCAGGTGCGCATATTCATTATCTTATATATTGATTTCCATTGGGTAAGTTCCATTGGCTAAGTTATTGGTCTAGATTGAAGTAAATTGTTAAGTGGCTTAATATATTATTTTTATTTATATATCGGTGTTCAATTCAAACAGGTTGACAGGTCTTGTCATTTATGTATAATTTATATGTTTACTTCCCCTCCTCTTCTCCCCAAAACAGTGAGTTTTACCAGAAGACCACTAAATTTTATTTCATTCCTAAGATTTTATTATTCTGAAACCAGATGACTCACATGAGAAAGCAAAACAGCTTGTATAATGTGATCCATAGAGGAAAATTTCTAAGGCAGGTTGCTGCCATATATATATATATATATATATATATATATATATATATATATATATATACACACACATATATATGTTTGTCAAACATATATATATTGTCAAATGTATATTTATGTATATATACAAAAACATATATGTGTGTATGTATACAAACATATATGTTTGTCAAATGTGTATATGTGTGTATATATATACACACACAAATTTTATATATATATATGCACCCAGTTGTATATATAAGTATATGCAATATACATTATATATATGCATTATATATGTAGATGAATATATGTATACATCTGAAATAAAAATAAAATGACATTTTGGCATCATTGCTAACAAGAATTATTATAATAACCTAGATTTATGAAGCTTTGTGAGCATTTGCCTAGTTATCAAAAACCGAGGAAAAAGTTTACTAAAAGCATTTAAACCTATGAATCAAAAATTAAAACATAATTGTTGTTATTGCACATTTGTGCCCTTTCAGAATTGTGTGTGCTATAATCAATGCTATTGCTTTAGAAGTTAAGGGAAGTATATTTGAGTAGGGGTTCAATTCACTGTTAAAGCATATAAATGACAGGGCATGTAATTTATTAAAGTTCTGGGCTACTCTAATCTAGTGTGAACTATGGGAAAATTTTCCCAGCAATCTTAGGGAGGGTAAGGATAACTAGCAAGACCCCAGCGAAAGTTTTTAGGACCCAACCCTAAAGAAGCCTGAGTTTGAATATTTATATTTGCAAGCTGCCCTCATTCTGCCCTCATTCCTCATTCTGGGAAGTAGGGGCAGGCTGAATATCCACTCTAGGATGCTTCTCTAATGTTAGGGGTTTTAGGAAACCTGTCCCTACCTGGCTGGCCTCATCCTGTATCTGTAAAATTAAGCTAGATAATAGAGATTCGTGGACAATATAATGCCAGAGGATGGAATCTCAATCTGGTCCTTTTCTTCTTAATGTCTCTTTCTCCCTATTTACACTATGGGCCATGCTTTGCCTTCTTCCTCCCCCACCACCCATGTTACCCTGACTCATCTTTCTCATTTCCCACAGGGGAAAAGATGCGTGTAAAGTTATCTGTATAAATCTTAAATCTGTGAGGGAAAGTTAAAATCTTTTAAAGTAATGGTTATTTTCTTATGTAAAATTGATTCAAATTCGTTTGCAGTCAATAGGAGGTGAAAGCAAACAACATGCTTGTATATTTCCATCATGTACATAACTCTTAAAAGTGCTGTTGGGATAATTAACATAGGAAATCCAAGGGAGAGGCTTTAGAGATGGAAGTTCAATGACAAAATTACTATTTGGTGATCAAAGTGCTTAGAAACCCCAAAACGAAAATTGTCTACACAGCACTTTAACAGAGAACAATGGTACAGATAAAGTGTTATTAATTTTTAAGGCCTTGTGATATTTTTTATAATAAGATTCTTTGTATTACTTTCAAGGAGGAATGATGTCATACCAAATTCTGATGTCTCTAGAGCAGTTTGGTTAAAATAAGCATCTGTTTCAGAGAAGAACAGATCCATGCATATGGATGTGGGATTACTTTCTTTGCAGCTGGATTTATCTTTTCCCAGTGATAGGTGTTAGGGAGATTCTCTGTTAACTAGTTTGTAGGCTAGACATGAGACACAGGCAGGTTCTGACTGACACATTTACCATGTAATTACTTACACAGCTAATGAAAAGGCCACCAATGGAGGAATCACTGTATTCTACAGCAAGTGAATCATTTAAAAAAAGGACACAATGAACAGCAGGGTTTTTTTTTTTTTTTTTAGATCAAACCTGAAACTAAAGAATGTAAAATATTCAATAAACTTATAAAATACCTAGCTTTTTTCTAGTACCATCTCTCTTTTTCTGCCTGTTACACATTGTCAGGGTTTACTTTCAAATTCATAGAGCCATCGGAGCTTCCAACAGAATTTCAGTTTGAAGAAGTTCTGAAATGAAGGCAACTTTATTAGAGTAGAGGGAGGTTACTTCTCATAAGTGCTTAGTGTGTTGTTAATGTCCCTTAGTAATGTCTGATGATTTGAAAAGCATGTTAAGAGGTTTTGTGCAGAAACAGCCATGTAGTGATGAACTATAGTAGGTATTATTGCATTCTGATATTAAATTATACTTTACAGTGTATCTGTAGGGTTGCATCTAAGCCAACAATATAACATTTGCTAAGCAAAAGTAGTTTAATGTCTTTTCTAGGCAAGTAAATGGCAAAGCAAGTGCGCATTATTCTCAACAGGGAAATTCAAGTACATTTTGCTGCTGCCGACAGAGATTAAATAAAGAAAATCCAATTTAATATCTCAATGTTCCAGTACTAACCTGTAGTGAAAACAGAATTCTGAAATGAGATATTTGTCACTGTCTTCAGGAATATGGACTTGCACCATTTAAGGTAGACAAATATCATGTCCTCTTTCGTTTCTTAAAAAAGTTGTTTGCACTAAATTATTTTTCAAACCACTGCACTATAACCCATGGACAATAGATTTGGAAAGAAAGATGCTTTTGCCTTTCAGTACTGAAATATCATTGAGCATTTACTAGGTATCAGACAGAAGAATAAGTACTTAACAAATATCTAATTACAATCTCTAAGCAGCCTTATAGAAAATGTTATTTTGTTAGAATTTTACCGAAGAGTAAAGTAAAATTCTGAAAATTTGAACAGATAACCCAGTGTTGCATGGCTAGTAAATTGCACAGCCAAGATACAAACTTCTGTCCACTCTGCTTCAAGGCTAATCAACACCTTTATCTGGATGCTACACTTAATTGTGCCATAAACTTTTGTTCATCTCATCTAGCACTTTCTATATATTAAATGTTATGATTAATAATATTCCAAGAAAACATGGAAAATAATTCTGTTCTGTGAATTAAAATAAATTGTAGTGGTTTTTTTTCCAAGATAGTAGATTAGAGGCTTGTAGCATGCTTCAGGCACTTGGAAATAATAAAATAGTGCATACAGATAAATTCTGTGAGCTTTAATTCAAGATGGAAAATGGGAATACTACTGGAATACCTAAAGACACACTAGGTCCTGGGGAAGAGAAGGTGGGCCCCCATGTCAGCATCTGGCTAATAAAAGTGAGTGAAGGCCCAGTACATGAAAAGGGCAGGGTCTCCCTCTGTGATTCACTTTTCCACTAGTGATCCATGCAGCCCAGGCCAAGGGAGAGCATCTTGTTTCTCCCAATCCCTGGAGCTAACCTGGGGAGAGACTTAGAGATACTGACAGGGAAAAGCACTGGGAAAAGGAGCATATTTTCCCAGACCTGGGACCAAGAGGAGAGAGCCATTTTTAATCTAGGCTCATACAATGTCAGTCATTCTTTGATGACCCGGCAGCCTCTCAGGCATTTTAGTCTCAGGTCATAGATTGGAGCACTTGCTCTGCAGTAGGGGAAGGACCTCCACCACCAGAATTGAGTGGCAAGTATGAAAAGCACCCCAGCAGAAGGTGCCAGAATTGGGCTTTCCCCCATCACAGGTCTGGAGTGGGAAGATAGTTGCTGCAGCCATGGTTTCTCCTGGGCAGTGAGACTTGCAGCTGAGGCCAGCATGGCAAGCTGGAACCAGTCTTTGTGTGTGCTATTGGTGGGTGCCCCAGCCTGCTTCCCCAAGATCATGGTGCAGTGGAACCCTCTCCACTCTGCCCTGAGGCAAATCTTCAGGCATTCAGAGCACCTGCTCACCTGGATTAGCAGCCTGAGCCACCCCACCCTTCCTGAGCAGGGATCTTGGTGCAGCACTGCTCCCTTCACTCCACATCTGGGCATATTTTGAGACACTCACCTGGATTAGCTGCCAAAGCTGCCTCCTGCCTCTTTCATACAAAAACCTTATTCTACCACCAGTTACTCTACTCTCAGCCAGGGCACATATTTCCAAACAATTGGAGCTCCTGCTTGCCTAAGTCAGTAGGCTGAGCTCTCCTTCCCTTCCTCTGTAAAGAGCCTGTTGCAGTGGCAGTTTCTCTACTCCTCATCAGGGCATACTCGAAGTCATTTGGCACACTCACTTACTTAGATAGAAGCCTGAGCTGATCCTGTCTTCCTGTGAAGAGATCATGGTGCAGAAGCATACTCTCTTCTCCATTCTCAGACATATCTCCAGGACTTTGGTGCACCTGGCCCCCTGGAATAGGAGTTTGAACCACCACCCCTTCACATGCAAAGACCTTGGTATGGCAGCACTCCCTTCACTCCACACCCGGGCATAACTCCAGGCATTTGGCACACCCATTCCAATGGTTAGGAGTTTGAGCCAACCCTTCCTTTTCATGCAAAGACCTCGTTGTGGTGGTGGTTTCCTTGCTCCTTCCCTGGGCATATCACCTGGCATGAGGCACATCTGCTCCTCCAGAATAAGAGCCTGAGCTCCCACCCTTCACAAAGACATTGTTGCATCTGCAGTTTCTCCACTTGTTGCTAGGGAATATTTCCAGGCATGTGGTATACCCATTTGTCTGGATTTGAAGTCTGAGCCATCCCTGCTTCAGGTGCACAGATCCTGATGCAGCAGCACTCTCTCCTCTCAAGGCTCAGACATATCTTCAGGCATTTTGAGCACACATCCACTCTTCTAGATTAGGAATTTAGGCCATGCACCTACACATTCAGAGAACTTAGAACAGAGGAGGTTTCTCAACTCCATGCCTAAACACACATCTGAGTGTCTGATGGTTGCCCACTGGACTTCTCTACTCTCTGGAGCTGGTGCCTGTGACTGCCATTGAGGACATTTAGCTGAGTGTGCCCCACCCATGTTGGTCCCTCCCCTGGGGCTGAACAGGGAGCTCAGGCCATTATGTACTCCATGGATCAGCCCATTGCCTGAGGCAACACAGAGCTTCTCCCAGTAAAAAAAGGATCAAGTATATGCCCATCCAAGTGGGCCACAGCCAACTCTTACCCATAAGAACCACCTATGGACCTGGAGGTTCAATGGTACAACACAATAGGAAGTTTGTGGACACAAGTACATAGGACTGGGAAATGAGATAAGCTTCCTGAGACAGCTGCAAACCCAGAACAACGGGAGGGATTGAGCCTTCTCCCACACCCATTACATTACTACTACAACCGGCATTCGTGAAAGCCACCTTAAAAAGGATATCTATAACCAAAGAACTTATACAGACTCTTTGTCACTGAAAACACCCAGAACCAGAGATCTAACTCTCAGTCTGTCCCTAAGGGAGGGGAGAGCGCAGCCCACCAAATGTCCCCTTAAGTCAAAGGAAACATGAACATAGCACCAGCTATTGGAGGCAGCATCACTAAATCGAGAGGGTTATCTCTTGCCACCCTCCCCCACCTCAGTGCACTGTGGCTGACTCATCAGTGGCTCTTCTCAAGAAGGCTCGGGGATCCTGGTCTGAAAGAGATCACTTCTCAAGCTTTTACAGTGGCTCTACCACCACTGAAGGCAAAAGTGCTCTGGGGGTGGTGCTTTTCAGCTTCATCCTGGCCTCTGCCCTTGCTGCTACTGGCCAGCTCTTACTCTTAAGCACCACCAACTGGACTGAAGCCTGAATGACACCAGCAAACAAAATTACATTGCTACAACAAGCAATGTCTCAGAAAGCCACTACACAAACCTATCTGCAACCAAGGAACCCGTACAGATCCCTGGAATCCTGAAATCACCCAGAAACAAAGCCAATAAATCATACACAATATACATCACAGTCATACACCCAAGGTAAAAAAGAATAAAAAATCAAGATGCCCCATCCAAATAATAGCAAATTTATGAAAGAAAGGAAAGGAAAGGAAGAAAAAGAAAGGAAGGAAGGGAGGGAGGAAGAAGAAGGAAAGAAAGAAAGAAAAAGAAGAAAGAAAAAGAGAGAGAGAGAGAGGGAGGGAGGGGGGAAGAAGAAGAAGAAGAGAAAAAGAAAGAAGAAAAGAAGAGAAAGAAAGAAAGAGAAAGAAAGGAAGAAGAAAAGGAAAGGAAGAGAAAGAAAGAAAGAGAGAGAAAGAATTGGCTCTCTGAGATCAGAAGAAACCAGTGTAAGAACTCTGGCAATATAAAAAGCCAGGGCGTTTTGTCACTAAATGATCCCAGTATTTCCCAAGCAGTGGATCCTAATCAGCATAAAATGTCTGAAAAGACAGACATAGAATTCAGAATATAAAAGGCAAAGAAATTTAGTGAGATCCAAGAGAAAGTTGAAATCCAACACAAAGAAGCCTGAACTATCGAAGATTTGAAAGATGACATAGATATATTATGAAAGGCACAAACAGAACTCCTGGGATTGAAAAATTAACTACAGAAATTTCAAAATACCCTTGGAGGCCTTTACAACAGATTAGATTAAGCAGAAGAAAGAATTTCAAAGCTCAAAGACTAGAACCTTGAATCAACCCAGTCTGAAAAAAAAAAAGAAAATAATTTTTAAAAAGAACAAATATTTAATGAAATATGGGATTATATAAGTGACTAAATATGTGATTTACTGGCATACCTGAGAGAGAAGAAGAGAAAGTAAGCAACTTGGAAAACATATTTAAGGATGTAATTTAGGAAAATTTACCCCATCTTGCTAGAGAGTTCTACATGCAGTGTTATGGTTTGGCTCTGTGTCACCGCCCAAATCTCACCTCAAATTGTAATCCCCATGTGTCAAGGGAGGGATCTGGTGGGAGGTGATTGGATCATAGGGGTGGTTTCCCCATGCTGTTCTCATGAGAGTAAGGGAGTTCTCCCAAGATCTAGTTGTTTGATAAGTATCTGGCTTTTCCCCTGAGCTCTGTCTCTCTCCTGCCACCAAGTAAGATGTGCCTTGCTTCCCTTTGGCCCTCCGCTATGATTATAAGTTTCCTGAGGGCTTTCCAGCCAATGCATAACTGTCAGTCAATCAAACCTCTTTTGTTTATAAATTACCCAGTCTTGGGTAGTATCTTAATAGCAGTGTGAGAATGTACAAATATGTGCAAATACAAGAAATCTACAGAACTCTGGCAAGATACTGTACAATATGACCACCCCAAGTTACATACTTATTACACTATACAAAGTCAATGCAAAAGAAAAAATCTTAAAGGCAGCTAGAGAAAAGGGTCATATTACCTATGAAAGGAAACCCATCAGACTAACATTGGACAACTCAGCAGAAAATTTAAAAGCCAGAAGAGATTTGGGGCCCATTTTTAGCATTCTTAAATAAAAGAAATACAAGTCACGAATCTCATATCCTGGTAAACAAGTTTCATAAATAAAAGAGAAATGAAGTATTTCCCAGACAAATAATTGCTAAGGGAATTCATCACCACAGACTGGCCCTATTAGAGATGCTTAAGGGAGTTCTAAACATGAAAACAAAGAACAATACTTGCTACCACAAAACCATACGCAAATATATAACTCATAGACCCAATAAAGCAACTACACAATAGAGACTAAGTAGCAACTAGTTAAGAACACTATGACAGGAATAAAACCTCACATGCCAATATTAACCTTGAATGTAAATGGTCTAAATGCCCCATTAAAAAACATAGGGTGGAAGGCCGAGGTGGGCGGATCACAAGGTCAGGAGATCGAGACCATCCTGGCTAACAGGGTGAAACCCTGTCTCTACCAAAAATACAAAAAATTAGCCGGGCGTGGTGGCGGGCACCTGTAGTCCCAGGACTTGGGAGGCTGAGGCAGGAGAATGGCGTGAACCCGGGAGGCGGAGCTTGCAGAGAGCCAAGATGGCGCCACTGCACTCCAGCCTGGGCAAGAGTGTGAGACTCCGTCTCAAAGAAAAAAAAGAAAAGAAAAAATAGGGTGGCAAATTTGATTTAAACAACAACAAAAAACAACTTAACTTCTGCTGGCTGCAAGAGATCCATCTCACATATATAATAATAATGCCCATACGTTCAAAGTAAGAGGGTGGAGAAAGATCTGACACACAAATGGAAAACTAAAAAGAGCCAAGGTCTTTTTTTTTATCTTTCATCAGACAAAATAAGTTTTAAACCAACAACAGTAAAAAAAGGATGAGGAAGGGCATTACTAAATCACAGAGCTTTCAATTCAACAAGAAGATTTAAGTATTCTACATATATATGCTCCTAATATTGTAGGACCCAGATTCATAAAACAACTACTTTTCACCTAAGAAAAGACTCTGACAGCCACAGGATAATACTGAGGTATTTCAATACCCCACTGACAGCATTAGATAGATCAATTAATGCAGAAAGCTAACAAGGAAATTCTGGACTAACATTCAATGCTTGATCAGTTGGATCGAAAAGACATCTACAGAATATTCCACTTGCAATAGCCACACACACAAAAATTAAAATACCCAGGAATACACCTAACCAAGGAGGTGAAAAACCTTTACAAGGAGAACTACAAAACACTGCTGAAAGAAATTGTAGATGACAGAAATAAATAGAAAAGCATTCCATGCTCAAGGGTTGGAAGAATCAATATCATTAAAATATCCATACTGACCAAAGCAATCTACAGATTCAATGTTATTTCTATCAAATTACCAACATCATTTCACAGAATTAGGAAAAAAAAAAAACACTATTCTAAAATTCATATGGAGCAAAAAAAAAACAAACAAAAAAAAACCAAAAAAACCTAAATAGCGAAAGCAATCCTAAAATCCTAAGCTGAAAGAACAAAGTTTGACTTCAAACTATGCTACCAGGCTACAGTAATCGAAACAGCATGATATTAGTACAAAAATTGACACACAGACCAAGGTAACAGGATAGAGTCCCTTGAAATAAAAGATACAAACTTACAACCAAGTGATGCTAAACAAAGCCAATAAACCATAAAAAAAGGACATTCTATTCAATACACGGTACTGAGAAAACTGACTATATCCAGAAGAACAAAACTGGAACAAACCTGCACATGTAGTGTCTAAATCTAGAAATCTAAAATAAAAGTTGAAATTAAAAAATGAAAACATTAGGTTCATTCTCAGAATGGCAAGATGTTCCCCTAATATTAAGATATACGCTTGTGAGGTTGAATGGAGTAGGATGTGAGCTGAGAATAGGACTAATATTTGCTTTCTTATGTGAATTACATATTACATATGCATGCATATGTAACTGTGTTAAGGTAAGCATAAGTATCACTCTCAAAGAAGGAAGCATTTTCTAATTGATTTTTTAAGAATGTCTTTTCCTCTAAACTACGCTTGGTAGCCATTTTAACACATAAATAGTAACAATAGTTTTTTTTGTTGTCTTTGTTGTTGTTGTTTGAGACAGTTTCCCTCTATCACCCAGGCTGGAGTGCAGTGGTGCAGTCTCCAACCTCGACTTCGCAGTCTCAAGCTATCCCTTCCGCCTCAGCCCCCATGAGTAGCTGGGATTACAGGTGTGCACCACCATGCCCAACTAATATTTTGTATTTATTGTGGAGACAGGGTTTCAGCTAATTTTTGGTATTTATTGTGGAGTATTTCACCATGTTGCCCAAGCTGGTTTCAAGCGCCTGAGCTCAAGTGATCCGCCCACCTCGGCCTCCCAATGTGCTGAGATTACAGGCATGAGCCACCGCGCCCAGCCTAGAGGTTTATTATTTTAGTTCTCCAAGGAGTGCTGCATAAAATGTGCTTTGGCTTTTGTAAATAAAAGATTTGATGAAGTAATTTTACTTACATTGTGCTCCAAATTAGGTAAGTCAATTAGATGAAGAAGAAAAGAATGGCTAAACTGGTACACACAAAAAAAGTGTGAGCTGGAGTGAGGGAGGGTCTGCGGGGGAAGCACTTATCAGATTGTGAACTGTGAGCTGTGAGCTGTTTGGCAGAGGAGAAGCACTTATCACATTGGAGCCATCTGCCTACTCCCTGGTTAGTTCATTCTCACAGTCTTTCAGTGCAGGTCTGTTGGTAACACTCATCAATCAAACTCACATTCAGTGTTTAGATGGAATAAAGTATTTGTTTGTTGTTTGTTTTTTTTCTCTCTCCACCCCCTATCCTTCACCCCTACATAAATGCTAGTTTTAAAATTTCCAATTCAGATTACAATGGCAAAATAGAATTTTTTTAGGTTTTGTTCCCACTTTACCCTCTTTTATTTGTGTTGTGGTTTATTTGTGTCTCTTTGCAAACAAGCTTTCTCCTCATTTATCATAAGTTTCATGGTTTATGGATTTTAATTCAAGCTATTTGGATAATACCTTGTAGCAAACTGATTTAAATGCAAACAAAAATAGCAACATCAGCCCCTTTCATTCCTTAGAATATCTGCTCCAGAATATTGTGGTCCAGAAGAGGCTATGCTATCTGGAGAATGTTTTATCATGTTATATTAAAAAATATAACAAGAAAGGATATAAGGAGGAACAATGAGGAATTTCAAGAAAGGCAGTAGAGCTGGAAGAGGTCTGGCTAGGACATAATGTCTTCGAATCTTTTCAGAAATGTGTTCCAGCTTCTTTATGATAGCAGTTAGCATCCCTGCACATATGTGAGTATATAGGGCTCAAGAAAAATGGCAGGATAGGGAAGACCTATCATTATACTACAGAAAAGGACTTATAAAGAGACTTCTTGTAACTATTCCTTGGGGTTTGATTAATTACTTGCTTATTGCTGAAGACAGAATAGAGCGACCGGTACTGTGATTTTAGTAGTGAAAATGAGATGGCAGTTGGAGAGTTCTTAGTAGGGAGAACTGATACACTAAAAAATTGTGTTTCAGATTTAGTCTACCTCCCTTAATTTCCAGTAGGAGGGGGACCTTGAGCTTCCTTTGGCTGCTGAAGATTACTGAGATATTTAGCTCTCAAATGAGAATGCTAGTCTCATTCATTAAGTTTCATTTTAGAGATATTTGGGCAGCTAGATTATCAGACAAAAACATGCTCACATTTACCATCATGTTGTCTAAAAACCCAGGCATTTGTGCTTCTGGGTTTAGTGTGGATTAGGATGTATATTTGCTAAATATTAATGGATTTAATCAATCCCTTTTAATCCATCCAATTTTTTTCACTTGTAAATGAACATTTAGGCATTGACTGTTTGTTCATTGACACTTTAGTAACAAGTAACTAAGAAGAATTATTTTATTTTATCATAATTGTTATCACTGGCATCATCATATAATCTCATTTAATTATAATAATCATTGATATCCCTACGTTGTCCTAAGTACTATGTGAGCAATACTCTTGTAATATCAGTTTGTTTTTCTTTCCTCTAAATTATGAAGATAAGCCTCACTCACACTTTTGGCCAGGCATCAAATAAAGATGAAATACTGTCATAAAGCAAGAAAACCTGTACTACTATAGAAAGAAAACACAAATATCACATGCTGGTGGAAAGAAAATGCAGATACACATTCACATAGTCATACACATGAGAGATTATACTGAAAATAATTGAACAAAAATTATATAAGAAATGTAGTTTCCTTAGTATTTATTGCCTTGTTCAAATGTATTCAACAAACTTTCAATGAGACATTACTCAGTACCATAGTCCGTGCTAGGATTCAGGGCTAGAAAGAGTACTCAAGCCTGAATTATATCTTTATAGACCTTAAAAATCTAATGCTCACTTACAGAATTTGAAACTTGATTTACAACTCAGGAATTGAAGACATTACAGATTATTATTATTGTTCATTGATTTTTCAAACTGGTGATCAGATGAAAGTAAGCAAAATAGAACAGTTTAATGAAGAAAATTGAAACTTTTTTACTTTATTATATACTTAGCAGTGTACAAAGAATATACATTGGCTACTGTCTTAGTTATTTCTCATAAAACAATTGATAGCTAGCATTATGCAGTGATGCAATAGTCCTAGTCTAATAGGGTATGAGTGAGTGTGTGTGTGTGTATGTGAGTATGCACACACACACATGTAATCAACATGTCAGCAGAATTGTATTCCTTCTGGAAGCTCTAGGGGAGAATACATTTCTTTTACTTTCCTAGCTTGTAAAGGCAGCCTGCAGCCCGTGGATCATGGTCACTTCCCCCATCTTCAAAACCAATTGTAACATCCTCAGAATTCTGCTTATGTCTCCAATTCTGCTTCTGTTACTACATCCTCTTTCTGACTCTGACTCTTTCTTCTCCCTGTTATGAGGACTCTTGTGATTGCATTGAGCTGACCTGAATAATCCAGGACAACCTCTCAATTTTAATATCCTTAATTTATCTACAACTGCAAAGTCTGCTTTGCCATGCATAGCAACATATTCACAGATTTTAGGAATTAGGATGTGAACATCTTTGAGGACCATAGTTCTGACTACTATAATTACTACTTATCTATGGAAGAAAGACAATCATACTACTTACCCCACAGGAAGATTGTGGGAATTAAATGTGTATGCTATTGAAGTGTGCCAGATAGGGCATTAGAAATATTTATTAACTGCTCTGTAACTGTTGGCTCTTTTTGAGTGCTGGAGGTGGAATGGGTTAAAAAGTACTAGGTATGGTACTGGTTGCTGCCATTGTGTTACTTAAGTCAAATTCTCCTTGTTTTCTTAACTTATTTTCTTAAACTCTACATATATTTTATAGATATAAAGTGAAGATGTTTAACATTTGGTTCCATTGATGAAGAACAGGAAAACAAGCAAATATTTTCTGTATTAGTCCATTTTCACACTGCTATAAATAACTACCTCAGACTGGGTAATTTATAAAGAAAATAAGTTTAATCGAGTCACAATTCTGTATGGCTGAGGGGACCTCAGGAAACTTACAATTATGGCAGAAAGCAAAGGGGAAGCAAGGCATGTCTTACATGGGAGCAGGAGAGAGAGAGAGATGGGGAACTGTCAAACAATTTTAAACCATCAGATCTCATGAGAACTCACTCACTATCATGGGAACACCATGGGGGAACTACACCCATAATCCAATTACTAACCACCATGTCGCTCCCTTGACATGTGGAGATTACATCTGAAGATGAGATTTGGGTGGGGACACAGAACCAAACCATATCATTCTGCCCCTGGCCCTTACCAAATCTTGTCCTACTCACATTTCCAAACATAATCATTTCTTTCCAACAGTTTCCCAAAGTCTTAAGTCATCCCAGCATTAACCCCAGAGTCCACGTCCAAAGTCTCATCTGAGACAAGAGAAGTCACTTTCACCTATGAGCCTGTAAAATAAAAAACAAGTTACTTACTTCCAAGATACAATGGAAGTGCAGGCACTGAGTAAATGTTCCCATTCCAAAAGGAAGAAATTGGCCAAAGCAAAGGGGCTACAGGCCCCATGCAAATCTGAAAACCAAGAGAGAAGCCATTAAATCTGAAAGCTCCAAAGTAATAACTTTTGACTCCGTGTCTCACATCCAGGGCAAGCTGATGCAAGAGATGGGCTCCCAGGGCCTTCAGCAGCTCTGCCCCTGTGGCTCTGCAGTGTACAGTTTCCATAGCTGCTTTCACAGGATGGTGCTGAGTGCCTATGTGTTTTTCAGGCAAATGGTGTTAGCTGTTGGTTGATCTACCATTCTCGGGTCTAGAGGATTGTGTCACTCTTCTCACAGCTCCACTAGGCAGTGCCCCAATGGAGACTCTGTGTGGGGGCTCCAACCCCACATTTTTGCTCTGTACTGCCATAGCAGAAGTTCTCCATCCCTGAAGTAGACTTCTGCCTGCACATCTAGGCTTTTCTATACATCCTCTGAAATCTAGGTGGATGTTCTCAAACATAAATTCTTGACTTCTGTGCACCTGCAGGCCCTACACCACGTGACAGCCACTAAGTGTTGGGGCTTGCACCCTCTAAAGCAGTGACCCAAGCTGAGCCTTGGTCTCTTTTAGCCACAGCTGGAGCTGGAGTGGCTGGGATGCAGGGCACCATGTCCCGAGGCTGCACAGAGCAATAGGGTGCTGGGCCTGGACCATGAAACCATTTTTCACTCCTAAGCCCCTTGGCCTGTGATGGGAGAGGCTGCCATGAAGATCTCTGAAATGCCCTGGAGACATGTTTCACATTTTCTTGGCTATTAACATTTGGCTGTTCATTACTTATGCAAGTTTCTGTAGCCAGCTTGAATTTCTGCTCAGAAAATGCATTTTTCTTTTCTACCACATGGTCAGGCTTCAAATTTTCCAAGCTTTTACACTCTGCTTCCCTTTTACATCCAATTCAGATTATCTTTTTGTGAATGCATATAACTATATCCTTTTAGAAACAAACATGTCACCTCTTGGATGCTTTGCTGCTTATAAATTTATTCTGCCAGATACCTTAAATCATCTCTCTCAAGTTCAAAGTTCTACAGATCTCTAGGGCAGGGGAAAAATGTTGCCAGTCTCTTTGCTAAAGCATAGCAAGAGTGACCTTTGCTCCAGTTCTCAGTAAGTTTCTCATCTTCATCTGAGACCACCTCAGCTTGGACTTAACTGTCCATATCACTATCAGCATTTTGGTCAAAACCATTCAACAAGTCTCTAGGAAGTTCCAAACTTTCCCTCATCTTTCTTCTTCTCAGCCCACCACATATTTTCAACCTCTGTCTGTTTCCAGTTCCAAATTTGCTTCCACATTTTCTCACTCTCTGCAGTTTCTCACTCTCTGCAGGACCCATTTTCTGTATTAGTCGATTTTCACACTGCTATAAAGAGCTACCTAAGACTGGGTAATTTATAAAGAAAATAGGTTTTATTGACACGTACTTGAACGTGGCTGGGGAGGCCTCAGGAAACTTACAATCATGGCAGAAGGCAAAGAGGAAGCAAGGCATATCTTACATGGTGGCAGGAGAGAGAGAGAGTGAGGGAGAAGTGACACATTTTTAAATCATCAGATATTGTGAGAACTCACTCACTGTCACTAGAACAGCATGGAAGAAATCTGCTCTCATGATCCAATCACCTCCCACCAGATCCTTCTTCTGACCCCACATGAGGATTACAATTTGAGATGAGATTTGGGTAGGCCCACAGAGCCACCCAACATTGGCAACAACTATAGATATTTTGTGTACACAGGTTGTGAGGGATTTTCTGATGATGTAAAATCTTTTTAACATTAAACTATTGAAATTATTTAAGTATAAATAAATTTCAATAAATACTGTAGATCAATATACATTTGAAAGATAAAAACAAATACAAGAAACTATTTGACGGGAGGTGCCACCTGCTAATTCATTCTATAGGTGAAGAAGGAGAAAGCATTTCTAATTATTCTTTATAAACACATATAAATGAATGACAGAAGCTAATGGCTCATGCCAAGTAAATCCAACTTGGTAGTAAAATGAGCCAAAGAATTGCCATGGTATAAAAATTTCTTCAACTGTGGTCCCAGCTACTCAGGAAGCTGAGGTAGATTACTTGAGCCTGGGAGATTGAGGCTGCAATGAGTCATAATCACACCACTGTACTCTAACCTGGGCAAATGAGTGAGACACTGTCTAAAAATATATTTTCTTTATATTTATCAGATTTAGTGAGATCAAAAATGTCAATTATGAAAACTAATAAACAAGTCTTTATCTTTTGCCATGTTTATGAAATTCAAAGCAAATTATTTAAAAAGATATTTTCTGGCCAGGTGTGTTGGTTTATGCCTGTAATCCCAGCACTTTGGGAGGTTGAGGTGGGTGGATCACTTGAGGTTGGGAGTTCAAGACCAGCTTGACCAACATGGAGAAACTCCATCTCTACTAAAAATACAAAATTAGCTGGGCATGGTGGTGCATGCCTGTAATTCCAGCTACTTGGGAGGCTGAGGCAGGAGAATCTCTTGAATCCAGGAGGCAGAGGTTGCAGTGAGCTGAGCTCATGACATTGCACTCCAGCCCGGGCAACAAGAACGAAACTCTGTCTCAAAAAAAAAAAAAAAAAAAGAAAAAAAAAGATACTTTTGGCTGGTCATGGTGGCTCATCCCTATAATTCCAAAATTTTAGGAGGCCGAAGCAGGAGGACTGCTTAAGCACAGGAGTTTAAGACAAACCTGGGCAACCTGGTGAGACCCCATCTCTACAATAATAATAATAATAAATTATACAGAATAAATTTTCCTAATAATTGTGCACCTGTACAATAATTGGGAATGGTGGTGTGTACCTGTAGTTCCAACTACTGGGGAGGTTGGGGTAGGATGATCTCTTGAGCCCAGGAGGTTGAGGCTGCACTGAACCAACTTGGAACCACTACATTCCAGCCTGGGTGACAGAGCATGACTCTGTCTCTAAAATAATGAAGAAATAAATAATAAAAATTTTGTTACGTTTGGGGGGTCTTGGTTGATCCTATTTAACCAGCTTGCCAGCAATGACATTTCACCTTAAGTTCAATTCATGTCAACAATGAGTTTTAGACACTTTCTGATGTTCAGGCAGTTTATTCTGGCAGTGCTCTTACAAGATACATAGTGGGAGAAGGCTGGATTCATGGTGCTGATACACTCAAGGGTCAGATGACCAACTGCTTGGGGTCTCCATCTGAGACATTCTCAGAGTTTAGGGAATTTTCCCCCCTTTCATATACCTGTATTTGGTCTGAGTCAGTTATCAGGCATTTCCTTCATTAAAAGATTTTAAGCTATTCTTGTAAAGGTGAACTTTGTTTTAAGGCTCATGAAAGTTGCATCTGTGCTGAGGTGGCCTTGTTTCTAGAGCATCCAGATGTTTTGGGCTGGTGGTCATAGGAACCTAGTAATCCCTGGGCCAGTTTTGAAAATCACCAGGCCACCTGTTATATCATACTTCTACATGACACATAGTGTAGCCCCTACAAGATGCTAAAATGGACCTCATGTCTATAATTAACCTTATAGCCATATCTCTCATAATATATTACAACCTTAGAGTAATAATCTATTAATATATATTTGGAGTTTTATCAACTGAGAGATCATTATATTAGTCCACTATCACACTGCTATAAAGACATACGCAAGACTGAGTAATTTATAAAGGGAAGAGGTTTAACTGACTCACAGCTTCACACAGCTGGTAAGGCCTCAGGAAACTTCAGGGTGGAAGGTGAGAGAGAAGTAAAGGCACATCTTACATGGTGGCAGGTGAGAGAGAGCAAATGAGTGAAGGGAGAGGAGCCCCTTATAAAACCATCAGATCTTGTGAGAACTCACTATCATGGGAAAAGCATGGGGAAAACCGTCCCCACCAAACCAATCACATCCCACCAAGTTCCTCCCTTCATACCTGGGGATTATGGAGATTACAATTTGAGATGAGATTTGGGTGAGGACACAGAGCCAAACCACATCATTCCATCCTTACCCTCCCAAATCTTATGCCTTTTCATGTTTTAAAACCAATCATGCCTTCCCAACAGTCCCCTAAAGTCTTAACTCATTTCAGCATTAACTCAAAAGTCCACAGTCCAAAGACTCATTGGAGACAAGGCAAGTCCCATCTGCCTATAAGCCTATAAAATCAAAAGCAAGTTAGTCACTTCCAAGACACAATAGGGGTGCAGGCATTGGGTAAATATTCTTATTTCAAATGGAAGAAATTGGCCAAAACAAAGGGGCTACAGGCCCCATACAAGTCCAAAATCCAGGGGGACAGTCAAATCTTAAAGCTCTGAAATGATCTTTGACTCCATGTCTCACATCCAGGTCATGCTGATGTAAGAGGGGAATTCCCATGGTATTGAGCAGCTCTGCCTCTGTGGATTTGCAGGGTACACCCCCCCTCTCAGGTGCTTTCACAGGCTGGCACTGAGTGTCTTTGGCTTTTCCAACTGCACAGTGGACTTACCATTCTGGGGTCTGGAGGACAGTGGCCACTCCTCACAGCTCCACTAGACAGTGCCCCTAAGAAGACTCTGTGTGAGGGCTCCAACCCCACAGTTCCCTTCCACAGCACCCTATCAGAAGTTCTCAATGAGGGCACCACCCCTGCAGAAAACTTCTGCCTAGAGATCCAGGCATTTTGATATATCCTCTAAAATCTTGGTGAAGGTTCTCAAACCTCAATTCTTGACTTCTGTGCAGCTGCAGGCCCAACACCACCTATAAGCTGCCAAGGCTTGGGGCTTGCACCCTCTGAAGCAATGGCCTGAGCTGTACATTGACCCCTTTTTGCTATGCCTGGGATTCAGAGCACCAACTCCCAAGAGTGTACAAAGCAGCTAGGCTCTAAACCTGGCCCAAAATCCATTTGTCCCTCCTAGGTCTCTGGGCCTGTGATAGGAGGGACTGCTGTAAGACCTCTGACATACCCTGGCAAAATTTTGCTCATTGTCTTGGCAATTAACATTTAACTCCTCATTATTTAAGCAAATTTCTGTAGCCAGTTTCAATTTCTCCTCAGAAAATGGATTTTTCTTTTCTATTGCATTATCAGGCTGCAAATTTTCCAGACTTTTCTGCTCTGCTTCCCTTTTAAACATAAGTTCCAATTCTAAACCATCTCATTATTAATACATAAAACTTAATGCTTTTAAGAGTACCTAAGTCACCTCTTGAATGCTTTGCTGCTTAGAAATTTATGCTCCCAGGTACCCTAAATCATCTTTCTCAAGTTCAAAGTTCCACAGATCTCTAAGGCAGAGGCAAAATGCCACCAATCTCTTTCTGAAAGCACAGCAAGAGTCACTTTTATTCCAATTCCCAACAAATTCCTCATCACCAACTGAGACCACATTAGCATGGACTTCACTGTCCATACCACTATCAGCATTTTGGGCAAAGCCATTCAACAACTCTCTAGGAAGTTTCGAACTGTCCCACATCTTCCTGTCTTCTGGTACTCCAAACAATTCCAACCTCTGCCTGTTACCCATTTCCAAAGTCATTTCCAAATTTTTTGTTATATTTGTAGCAGTATCCCACTTTCTGTGGTACCAATTGACTGTATTAGTCCATTTTTATACTGCTATAAAGAACTGTCTGAAAATGGGTCGTTTATAAAGGAAAGAGGTTTAATTGACTCACAGTTCAGCATGGGTGGGGAGGCCTCAGAAAACTTCCAATCATGGCAGAAGGTGAAGAGGAAGCAAGACACCTTCTTCACAAGGCAGCAGGAAGGAGAAGTTCTGAGTGAAGGGGGAAAGAGCCCATTTAAAACCATCAAATATTGTGAGAACTCATTCACTATCATGAGAATAGCATAGGGAAAATCAGTCCCTGATTCAGTCACCTCCCACCAATTCCCTCCCTACACACATGGGGATTGTGGTGATTACAGTTTGAGATGAGACTTGGGTGAGGACACAGAGCCAAACGATATTGGTCATTAGACATCATTATACAATGTATATTTGTGAATGAAAAGTATGGAAGGAAAACAAAGACTATCTTTAAAAATAGATACTGTGTTTTGACAAAAAGCATTTATTTTTACCCTCTGAAATTCTGAATAGGAGTTCAAAGAACCATATATTCAGGAATTAAATACAGTCATAATTGCCTCTGGCAGGGGTATGAAAAGAGTCATACTGTTACTTGTGTAGTAGAAATCAACCTCCTAGCTTAAGCTTGAGCTTCCAGGTTTGTGTAAGAAGTTGGTGAGGAAAACATTTACCGTGGCCTCCACAAGGTTTAGGTAGGTTAAGTACTTAATAGTCCAGACATAAATGTTACATAGCTTATGAGAGAAATTGCAGTAAAATATTTATATGATTTTCATTTCTCCTATATTGGGTTTTGCATTTACACAAAGTGACTGCATTTGATTTCCTACAAAGTGAGAAAGAGCTATTAAGTTATTAAAATAACAAATTAGTAACCAGATTGTTTGAAATAAGTTTTTGAGTTTTGTTTTTGGTTTTTGGAAGGGTAAGTTGGGTTGCATTCATTTGCCAGGAAATTAATTGTGTAGTTTAATATGTCCTCACTTATCAAAGACAACTAAACAGTTTGCAAAACTAATAGCTGAAGATTAGCAAGTACATATCTAAATCATTTCTAAGTTAGTTTACCCGTATGATATTTAATACAATAAATGGATATAAAATGATTATTTTAGCAATTGTAAGATAATCTAGATTTAAAATTATTTCATTCTAATATGCAGTTTTTTAACTATAATTGTTAAAATATTCAGATTAATCTAGTTATTAATTCCAATTTTAAAATGTGTATATATGTATATGCACACATATGTTTATAAAAGAAAACAGTTCGGTGTTATTAATAACATGAAAAGGGGTGGAGCCAAGATGGCTGAATAGGAACAGCTCCAGTCTATGGCTCCCAGTGTGAGCAATGCAGAAGACGGGTGATTTCTGCATTTCCAACTGAGGTACCAGGTTCATCTCACTGGGTAGCGTCGGACAGTGGGTGCAGGACAGTGAGTGCAGCCCACCAAGCGAGAGCCGAAGCAGGGCGAGGCATCGCCTCACCTGGGAAGTGCAAGGGGTCAGAGAATTCCTTTTCCGAGCCAAGGGAAGCTGTGACAGATGGCACCTGGAAAATCAGGTCACTCCCACCTTAATACTGTGCTTTTCCGATGGTCTTAGCAAATGGCAACCCAGGAGATAATATCCCATGCCTGGCTCAGAAGGTCCTATGCCCACGGAGACTCACTCATTGCTAGCACAGCAATCTGAGATCAAACTGCAAGGCAGCAGCGAGGCTGGGGGAGGGGTGCCCACCATTGCCAAGGCTTGAGTAGGTAAACAAAGTGGCCAGGAAGCTCGAACTGGGTGGAGCCCACCGCAGCTCAAGGAGGCCTGCCTGCCTCTGTGGACTCCACCTCTGGGGGCAGGGCATAGCCAGACAAAAGGCAGCAGAATCCTCTGCAGACTTAAATGTCCCTGTCTGACAGCTTTGAAGAGAGTAGTGGTTCTCCCAGCATGCAGCTGGAGATCTGAGAATGGACAGACTGCTTCCTCAAGTGGGTCCCTGACTCCCGAGTAGTCCAACTGGGAGGAACCACCCAGTAGGGGCAGACTGACACCTCACACAGCCGGGTACTCCTCTGAGACAAAACTTCCACAGGAACGATCAGGCAGCAACATTTGCTGTTCACCAATATCTGCTGTTCTGCATCCTCTGCTGCTGATACCCAGGCAAACAGGGTCTGGAGTGCACCTCCAGCAAACTCCAACAGAACTGCAGCTGAGGGTCCTGACTGTTAGAAGGAAAACTAACAAATAGAAAGGACATCCACACCAAAACCCCATCTGTACGTCACCATCATCAAAGACCAAAGGTAGATAAAACCACAAAGATGGGGAAAAAAACAGAGCAGAAAAACTGGAAACTCTAAAAATCAGAGTGCCTCTCCTCTTCCAAAGGAACGCAGCTCCTCACCAGCAATGGAACAAAGTTGGATGGAAAATGACTTTGACGAGTTGAGAGAAGAAGGCTTCAGCCAATCAAACTACTCCGAGCTAAAGGAGGAAGTTTGAACCCATGACAAAGAAGTTAAAAACCGTGAAAAAAAATTAGACGAATGGCTAACTAGAATAACCAACGCAGAGAAGTCCTTAAAGGACCTGATGGAGCTGAAAACCAAGGCTCAAGAACTACATGACAAACGCACAAGCCTCAGTAGCCAATTCGACCAACTGGAAGAAAGGGTATCAGTGATTGAAGATCAAATGAATGAAATTAAGCGAGAAGAGAAGTTTAAAGAAGAAAGAATAAAAAGAAATGAACAAAGCCTCCAAGAAATATGGGACTATGTGAAAAGACCAAATCTACGTCTGATTGGTGTACCTGAAAGTGACAGGGAGAATGGAACCAAGTTGGAAAACACTCTGCAGGATATTATCCAGGAGAACTTCCCCAACCTAGCAAGACAGGACAACATTCAAATGCAGGAAATACAGAGAATGCCACAAAGATACTCCTCGAGAAGAGCAACTCCAAGACACATAATTGTCAGATCACCAAAGTTGAAATGAAGGAAAAAATGTTAAGGGCAGCCAGAGAGAAAGGTCGGGTTACCCACAAAGTGAAGCCCATCAGACTAACAGCTGATCTCTTGGCAGAAACTTTACAAGCCAGAAGAGAGTGGGGGCCAATATTCAACATTCTTAAAGAAAAGAATTTTCAACCCAGAATTTCATATCCAGCCAAACTAAGCTTCATAAGTGAAGGAGAAATAAAATCCTTTACAGACAAGCAAATGCTGAGAGATTTTGTCACCACCAGGACTGCCCTAAAAGAGCTCCTGAAGGAAGCACTAAACATGGAAAGGAACAACCAGTACCAGCCACTGCAAAAACATGCCAAATGGTAAAGACCATTGAGGCTAGGAAGAAACTGCATCAACTAAGGAGCAAAATAACCAGCTAACGTCATAATGACAGGATCAAATTCACACATAACAATATAAACCTTAAATGTAAATGGGCTTAATGCTCCAATTAAAAGACACAGACTGGCAAATTGGATAAAGAGTCAAGACCCATCAGTGTGCTGTATTCAGGAGACCCATCTCACGTGTAGAGACACACATAAGCTCAAAGTAAAGGGATGGAGGAAGATCTACCAAGCAAATGGAAAACAAAAAAAGGCAGGGTTGCACTCCTAGTCTCTGATAAAACAGACTTTAAACCAACAAAGATCAAAAGAGACAAAGAAGGCCATTACATAATGGTAAAGGGATCAATTCAACAAGAAGAGCTAACTATCCTAAATATATATGCACCCAATACAGGAGCACCCAGATTCATAAAGCAAGTCCTTAGAAACCTACAAAGAGACTTAGACTTCCACACTATAGTAATAGGAGACTTTAACACCCCACTCTCAACATTAGACAGATCAATGAGACAGAAAGTTAACAAGGATATCCAGGAATTGAACTCAGCTCTGCACCAAGTGGACCTAACAGACATCTACAGAAGTCTCCACCCCAAATCAACAGAATATACATTCTTTTCAGCACCACACCACAGCTATTCCAAAACTGACCACATAGTTGGAAGTAAAGCACTCCTTAGCAAATGTAAAAGAACAGAAATTATAACAAACTGTCTCTCAGACCACAGTGCAATCAAACTAGAACTCAAGATTAAGAAACTCACTCAAAACCACTCAACTGCATGGAAACTGAACAACCTGCTCCTGAATGACTACTGGGTACATAATGAAATGAAGGCAGAAATAAAGATGTTCTTTGAAACCAACGAGAACAAAGACACAACATACCAGAATCTCTGGGACACATTCAAAGCAGTGTGTAGAAGGAAATTTATAGCATTAAATGCCAGCAAGAGAAAGCAGGAAAGATCTAAAATTGACACCCTAACATCACAATTAAAAGAACTAGAGAAGCAAGAGCAAACACATTCAAAAGCTAGCAGAAGGCAAGAAATAACTAAGATCAGAGCAGAACTGAAGGAGATAGAGACACAAAAAACCCTTCAAAAAAATCAATGAATCCAGGAGCTGGATTTTTGAAAAGATCAACAAAATTGATAGACTGCTAGCAAGACTAGTAAAGAAGAAAAGAGAGAAGAATCAAATAGATGCAATAAAAAAATGATAAAGGGGTTATCAACACCGATCCCACAGAAATATAAACTAACATCAGAGAATACTATAAACACCTCTATGCAAATAAACTAGAAAATCTAGAAGAAATGGATAAATTCCTTGACACATACACCCTCCCAAAACTAAACCAGGAAGAAGTTGAATCCCTGAATAGACCAATAACAGGCTCTGAAATTGAGGCAATAATTAATAGCTTACCAACCAAAAAAAGTCTAGGACCAGATGGATTCACAGCCAAATTCTACCAGAGGTACAAGGAGGAGCTGGTACCATTCCTTCTGAAACTATTCCAATCAATAGAGACAGGAGATGTGTTAGTCTTTTTTAAAATACAACTTGCAACTCTATGCCATTTAAATAGGGCTTTTAGACTGTTTAAGTTCAAGGTTATTTTGATATGTGAAGTTTTGATTCTATCACTATATCATTAGTTGGTCACTTTGTAGTTTCTATTTGCTTTGTAGTTTCTGGTTGCTTTTTTAGAGTCTGTGGGCTATGTAATTGACATGTTTTTGTGGTAACAAGTTTTGTTCCTTTGTGTTCATGTCTAGAACTCCCTAAATGTGCCTTACAAGGCAGGTCTAGTGGTAACAAATTCCCTTAGCACTTGCTTGTCTGGAAAACATTTTATTTCTTCTTCACTTATGAAGGCAGGGTATAAAATTGTTGGTTGGAATTTCTTTTCTTTAATAATGCTGAAAATAGGCCACCAATCTCTGCTGTCTTGTAAGGTTTCTGTTGAGAAGTTCACTGTTAACCTGAAGAGGTTCCTATTGTATGTGATCTGACCTTTTTCTCTAGCTGTCTTTAAGTTTTTTCATTAGCATTGACCTTGGATAGTCTGGTGACTATATGCCTTGGTGATATTCATTTTGTAAAGTATCTTGTGGGTCTTCTCTGGATTTCTTGTATCTGGATGTTCCCTCTTTAGCAAGACTAGGGAAATTTAATTGAATTATTTCCTCAACTATATCTTTTTGGTTGTTTATTTTTTCTCCTCTCTCAAGAATGCCAATAATTTGGAGGTTTGATTGCTTTATATAATCTTATACTCCTTGAAGATTTTTAAAAATTATTTTCTCTTTATTTTTGTCTGACTGGGTTAGTTCAAAAGATTGTTCTTCAAACTTGAAATTCTCTCTTCTGCTTAATCCAGTCTATTGATAAAAATCTCAATTGTATTTTGGCAGTTTTAAGTGAGTTTTTCAATATCAGAAGCTTGGCTGACTTATTTTTTAAGATGTTTATCTGTTCCTTCATTTCCTGGATTGATTTAGAAGTTTCTTTGTGTTGATTTTCAACTTTGTACTGGATCTCATTGAGCTTCCTTGCAATCCATGCTTTGAGTTATTTATCTGTCATTTCTGAATTTCCATTTTGATTATGGACCATTGGTGGAGAGATAATGAGAGGCTTTGGTAGTGTCACTACATTCAGTTTTTTCAAGAAAATCTTGTGTGGGTTCCTTCTCATCTGGAGACACTGGCATTTCTACTTTCTATTATTTTTGTATGAGTAGGACTATTTTATTTTCCTATTATATTATTGGGTTTTTTTTTTTTCCCCTTTCCCACCTCCCTTGTGAATGTGACTGTAGAGAATGCTTCTGTAGACATACACACTTTTTTCAGCAGGTTTCATAATGGGCTGTGTCATTCAACCTACAAGCCAGTAGATGGCACTTATGGGTAAGAGTCAGCTATGGCCAACATGCCTGTTACTGGGTGTGTATTAATACTTAATCCTTGTTTACCAGGAGATATTCTCTGTTGCCTCAGACATTGGGCTGATCTATGGAGTACACAGTGGCCTGAGTACCCTGCTCAGCCCAGAATGTACAGGGGCAAGATGGGCAGGGTCATACCAGGCAGGACCACTACAAGTATTCTGGTTGCGGGCACATGCACCAGCACTGGGGGAGAATCCATTGGGTAACTAACAAGTGTTCAGAGATGTGCCTAGGTGTGGAACTAGGAAACCTCCTTAGCCTCAAGCTCTCTGCAAGGGGATGGGTGCTGCCTAAACTACTAATTCAGAAGAGTGGGTGCCTGAAGATCTGCTTGGGCATGGAGTGTAGAGGGTCCCACTGAACAATCTCCTCACAGAAATGCAGTGGTGGCTCAGGGTGCTAATTCAGGCAAACAAATGTTCCTATTGCCTGGAGACCTGCCTGGGCATGGGGTAGAGAGAGCCCCACTGCACCACAGTCTCTACATAGAAAGGGTGGGCTGGCTTAGGGTACTGGTGCAGATATATGGGCGCTCTGAGTGCCTGGAGATCTGACTGGGTCAAAAGCAAAGAGGGCCCCCATGCACCCAGATCACTGCACAAGAAGGGTAGGGTAACAGAAGCTGCCAATCTGGGCAACTCGGTGCTCTGAATGCCTGGGCATAGAGTGGAGAGGGCCCCACTGCACCACAGTCTCTGCACAGGAAGGGTGGGGTGGTTCAGGTTGCTGATCCAGGTGAGTGTGTGCTCCAAATGCCTGGAGATCTGCCTTTATCAAGCAGATGTATTCGCAGGGGCTGTTTCCCCACATTCTTCTCCCTTTAATCTGGAATGTAGTTCATGGTTCCAGTGGATTCTGTTTTCTTTGTTGAACTAAAGCTCACAGAGTTGATCTTCATGCACTATCTTGCTATTTCCAAATGGCTAAGGCACACTAAAAGCCTCTTATACACCATCTTAGGGGGAAAAAAACCTAATGCTCAAAAATACCTACTTTTTATAAAGTTTGGCCCTTACATACTATTCAGCTACTTCTTTTAGTGCTCAGATAATAAATCAGTGATGAATTTTCCAGCAGGATTTTCAGAAGAATTGTCAGGCAAGGTGGTGCCTAGCATAGCTCAGGTTCCCCTAACATTTAGTGGACTCATGTGACAAGGCTCCTGCACAAACTCTCTCCCTAGAGTTGCCCAAGTTTCCTTCATGTTCCCATGGAGCCACTTAAAACAATATCTGACAAGGCTAAGAATCACTGGAAAGAAGTTGGTGCTACAAGTGTGAAAAGCAAACTGAACTGCCTGGCCAGGCTGCAACAGCTTCCCATTTCACGTTGCAGTTTAACTTTGAGCAGTTAAGAAATCCCTCTCTCATGCTGTAAGACACTAGCTAAGGGATAGTTTCTCAAAGACCAAGGATGGTTTGATAGCTTTTCTCTGTAGTGCTTCCATTTTTTCAGTCTTTCTACTCCATTTATCAGGAAAACTATTCTGTGGACGTGACATCATGAAATTTTTTTCCAATCCTTAGTTATTTCTTTAAAAAGCCTGCATAAAGGCCAGATAAAAAAAGACTTATGGGGCCACCTGTTTATTATGTGGCAGCACATTCAGATGAAGAATAAACATGTTATCTATAATGATATTAATATTTCTCTAGGTTAGCTTTACAGGTCAGATGTAACCTACCATAGCTGCTGCACCTGTCAGGTAAAGAAGTTGGGATAACAAATACAGCTGATTTTTGGTAAGTACCTTCATAGCCTTGTGTGAAACTACTGCTCCTCCAAGGACCAGATTGAGAAAGAAAATTCTAGCTTTCCTTTTGGAAAAAGTTCAATGTTAAAATCTAAGGAGCCTACAGGGCAGACGAAAATGACTTTGTGAACTGAACTAGCAGTTTGATGAACTAGCAGAAAGATGAAAACTGCTTGAATCAGAAAGAGACAGTACAGAGAGGGAAAACACTGAACTTAAAGAAGTTTTATAGGAGTTTTTGTCCTGAGAAAGTAGTGTCCAAGTTCAGAGCTCAGTTCCAGAAGAGGTAACAGTAGCATGGCTTCTTAATCTGAGATGTGTGGTTTCTCAGCAGCATCTCAGGCAAAGAGATTTGAATGTACTGGTTTCAACATTTCTGGAAATATACAAGTAGACAAGGCCTCAGTGAAAGAAGGGTGAGGGAACGGGGCAGATCCAGCAGAAGTATTGCAACTAATACAGTAATTCTTGGCAGAAGAGTTTGATTTTTTCCAAGTTTGATGAAGTTATTCTTGGCTATCAACCATAAAAGAGAACTTCCTGGAGAGCCTTCGTGGGAATTCAAGAATCCCTAGGACTATAGAGACCATAGAGGTACTGGAAAGACGTGAAGGGGCCAGCTGTGAGATAATAAAGAGTGGTAAGGACTATGGGGAACTGGAAAGTTTATGTCGATCTAGAGGTGACAGCCTCTTTTCCAGTCCAACAGATTGTTGTCCTGAGGGGATGTGTGGGTCTAGTATTTGCAGATTTTCTAATTTTTTTCAAAAAAAGAAATCTAAATCTGATGTGAAAGATTTTATTTTGTGTCTTTGTTGTACAGTGCCTTCTGCTGAGACCCCATATTGTGAATTTGCCATTTTTGTGTATGTCCTTATTCCCTTTGGGTAAATGCTTAGTCTATATTATTTTTATAGAATCTTGGTGGGAGAATAAATCAAGCAATTTTAACCTCATCCCATGAAAAGAGGGAAAGTTTCTTCTACCAGATGCTGTCATTCGCCTTCTCGTTGCCCTTGTGTGAAACGTGTTTCCTAAATCGGGCTAATTGGACCTTCTCTCCTAAGATTTTGACTCTGAAGTAATGTAAGGACAAAAAAAAAAAAAAGGTATTCATTTTTTCCAGCAGTGGAGCTCAGGTGAAACTGTCAAGTGATTTCTTCTGTGAAGACTTTTGGTAACTGCCTGGTAGTTATTTCTTCCAAGCCTGGTTTTTCAGCCTTCTTTTCCAACCATACCCTTAAAAATGTTGCATTTGCTTAAATTTACTAGTTCCCCAGAGTTTATTTCAGTTACTTACAACAAAAGAGCCCAAGCCACTATACTCCCAGTGTAATCAACAGAACAACAAAGAAAAGAAGGGCGCTACACCAGGAATTCTATTGATCCATCGGTAGGCATGTTTTTCTCTATAACGATGGTCTGTAGCACCTTCCCAAAGGATGCTGCTGTGAAATTTCTGCCTTGTATTTTCTGCAGGGATGATCTCCTAAACATAGTCAAACTAGTCTCAGGGTGGACACTGTGGCTTTATAATCCCAGCACTTTGGGAAACCAAGGCAGGATGATTGCTTGAGGACAGGAGATAGAGCCCCGCCTTGGTAACATAGCAAGACACTGTCTCTACAAAAAATAAAAATAAAAAATAAATTTTGGAGAAAACTCGCCTCTACTGAAGCACTTCACATAGAACAGCCTCCCTAGCCAGGGCTTGTAAAATTAAGCAATTAAAGAAAAGCAGGGGGATCAGGATGGTAACATGCGGCAGGAAGATGTCTCATATCCTGCCCATTTCTGCATTTCCCTCCGCATGGGTCCCTGTGGTCTTTGTATGACTCAGCATCAACTAGTCCCCTCATGGGGAGTATGCACAACAAAGGTTAAAATCATAGCTTTTCAAAAAGATTCACTTGAGTTTAAATTCTGGATTTGCCACTTACTAGCTTTGAATGACAAGGTGGATTTTCATGTCTGAAGCCATTCTTCTCAACTGCAGAGGAAGCAAATAATCACTAGCTTACTGAGCTTTGTTGAGAACTAGATAACAAGATGCCCATAAAGTGCTTAGCACATAGTCTAGAACATGTTAAGGATTCATAGATTAATTTGCAGTGGTGTAAAAGTTTCAGGATATTGATAGCCAGTAGATACCAGGATAACAGCTGAAGATTAATGAAATTTATAGTCCTTTTTATAAACTCAGTCTAGTAGGAGCATCCCAACATTCATTTAGGTGATGGAGGAAGAGGATATGCTAATAGAGATAATTTTTTTGGAGCAATAGCAGAGCCTACTTGGTATTTAAGTATTAATTTCTCACAGTCTATTCACTGTATATTATTTTATATTGATCTCGTGATCATTTTTTAAATGAAGCACATTAGTAATTAAAATGCTTAACTTCCACTGATGAATTTAACTAAAAAGAATATACTAGTGTTTCTAAAATTTAGCTGCATATTATTATCACCTGAAGACCTCTTAGAACTAGGCATCATCCCAAATCAAACAAATCAAAATCTCCGGCGAGTGAACCCAGGCATTAGGATGTTTTAAAAGCTCCCCAGATGATTCCAATATACATGTTAAATTGAGAGCGTCTATAGTAAGATGAGAAAAATAAAAACATTCCCCAAACATCACATAGGAAGTGGGAAACTTCAAAAATGAATGAGAAATAAGAGTAATTTTTTAAAACCTTAATTCTGAATGTCAAACTTTAGATGGTTCTGAAAACAATCGGAAAAGCAAGAGAAAAGCTGTTTAAAATGGAAAGCACTATTGTCATGTGACAATCATGGTTGTTCTGTAAACATCTGTGCAGTACAGGTTTTAATGATAAAAGACAATGCTGAAATTTCATAAAAATTTGTTTACAAAACATAAATATGACTTTTATTCAGTAAGTTATATTTCTGTCTCTACTTGAAAATCAAATCTGCCTAAATAGTTCTAATAGCGTCTCTTCTACTCAGTTAAATAAATATTTCTTAACTCCAGCACTGTGGACATGTTGGGCCAGCTCATTTTTTGTGGAGTGGGAGTGAGAGTGAGGTGGTATCCTGTGCATTGTAGGATGTTTAGCAACATCTCTGACCCCTACCAATTAGATGCCAACACAACCACCACTCCTAGCTGTGACAACCAAAAATGTCTCCAAACATGACTATATGTCCCCTAGGGGCAAAATAGCCTGGCTAAGAACCACTCTGTTAAATGGACTACATACTTCCACCGCATGCAACGTCTATCAGTGTTTGCCCTGTCTCCATTTAAACACATTTCCTAGACTCAAAGCAAGAAATAAGGAAACAAAGACTGATTTTAATTTAAACAATGTTGACTTTAAGAAAAAATATATATATAAAGAAATTTTAAGAAAATGCTAGAACCAGACTGTTCCCAGGAATAAGTTTGCAGACTGCATTAAATGCTTGGCATTGAGACTCTATGAAAGAAACGTGGATTCGAGGGAAAAAAATACTGTAATACATGTGTATACATGTCATATATACACATACATATGCATATAGACACACATGCACACATATTAGAAATCATGAGCCCACACCAATACCTTTAATCCATTTCGTCCTCACAGAATTCTTTTTTCCTTCCCCATTCCTTATTTAAATGCCACTTCTTTCATAGTGAGAACTCTGACTCTCAATAATATCAATATATTTACTTATTTGCTTAGTCCTATAATACATCTTAGTTTCAGAATTGCTTTGCCCACATAACAAAAAAGATTTTGCTGTTTTCCCCAACAACATGCTCCTAAAGATTGAAATGTATTCATGAACTACTTGGATTAGATTTTCTCTTCTTTTCCCTTCAGTTTGATTAAGATTTATTTGAAATACAATTGTGTTTGTTTTTTCTTTTAGTTTTCATTTTTTTTCTGAAAACAGAAACACACAGTAACATGTAATATAAAATTGCTTTTATTATAAATAACCCCTTACAATGTAAACAAATATATTGATATTATAAAACCACTGGTCCTCATTTGTTTTAATATGGCAAAATTAAATAACCTTTCACATTAAAAATATACTCTTTAGTTTTAGAAATGAGAAATGACTTTCCTTCTTGCCATTAAATGTTTTGACTGCATGGATCAGGAGGACATTTAATTGACTAAACATTCAATTAAATAAGGTCTTTTGAGGCCCCCTCTCTCTGAATGAAAGTATTTTACACAAATTGTGGTTTTAATCAGGACACATGGGTGTCTGACCTGGGAATGTTTGCTGACAAGCTCAGGGTCTCATTGGCCCCACTGGTTCTCCTAATTCAGAAACTATTAATAGTGCAAAGTTAATTAAACTGGTAGCATATTATAAATGCAGCTGTTGTAATTTCTGAGTCAATCTGATATGTCAGTGTGGTATATTGCATAAAGTCTCAGATTTGGTATCTGACAACCTTGGATTAAATTTTTATCTCTAGATTTTAGGAATTGTCATTTCCTAATCTATATAATTAGAATTATTATAAATATAAGAGAAAAAAGTGTATCTTTTAAATTTTCTTATTAATATGAGTATAGATATATCTATTAGACATTTACTGGTACCCTTGTCTCCCTTCTCGTTATTATTCTCACAACAATTTTAATCTCTCTTGGCCAAGTTTCTAGGCAAAAAAATCATATGCCTTTGGGCCCAACCTTGGTAAATCTGTCTCTATGTATAAGTAGTTACCTCTGTTACATCTTGTAGTTGTACAACATGGACAGACCTTTCATTATCATTACAACATTTAATTTCTAGAACTCATATAATTAGGACTAAGGAAAACTCACTTAGTTTTCTCTTTCCAAATCCCATGATGATTAATTGTAGAGACACCATTTTCCTTCAAGTCCAATTGCCATATTCTTATTTCTGCAAGATAAAAAAAAAAAATGTTAAGCCCCGTTAGTTAACTGTAGAGCAAATACTTACTCATTTTTTCCTATCATTGAGAATTTGTCTGATTCCCCAGATGCTGCCTAAAATTAATATAATAATTCTCAAAACTGGTATTATTTTCTCTCCTGGCACTGACCTGATAAACCCTGCATGGGCCACTCAAGTCTGCTGATACTTGGGCCAACCTAACTGGAAACATAATCCCAACACCAGCATGTCACACACAAAGCAGAGTCAGCAAGTTCCAGAATCCTCAGATGGGGGCCTTAGGTACAAAGGAGAAGCCCCTGGACACTATTATCTCAAATGAAGCATAGCACATACACAGCAGATCATCTTCAGCTAACTCAGAGCTTAAATAACAAACAAACTCAGATACCGTCAGCTCCTCAGAAAGATTCAGAGATTTTCCTTTCCTGATGTGGGTCCTTTTGACACTACTGTTTCAAACATGTTTACAGATAAGGATTAAAATGAACCCATCTTTATTCTTCTAGCTTGTTGCAGGCCCTGGTCTGTTCAAGAAATGTTTACGTATAATCAAATTGAATTGAAACAGCTTCTCTAGAAAGTCTTTTGGGTTTAAGTCCCACTACTGTCTTCTACCCAATTTCCTCACTCCAGGAGCCTTCCTAAACTCTGTGTTAGATTGAGGTGCCTGCTTGGCAGTAAAAACAAAATTCTTTCCCACTCAGCATTCAATCCTTGGTCTCTTGAGTCTTCGTGTTTTCTTTAATATACATCTATATCTAAGGCTGCTTGCTGTGTATACTGTGATCCTCTTGGTCTGAAGGCTTTTTTTTTTTCTTGCTCTTCTTATTTGACTCCTACAGAGGTTATACCAGAAGTGCCAAGAATTAATATTTCCTAAATCTGCCCTCAACAAATAAGGGACTCAATGTTAAGGATAAACATCTCAGCTTCTCTTTCCGAGAGTACCTCTAAGGTATCTTCTATAGTGTTTCCCAGAGTTTGCCAACAGGATTGAGCTCCAGTTGCCCTCTTTGGTAACTGGCTCCAATATGCACCCTCTTGTTTTTTTCCCTTCCATGTCCCATGTCTTTATCTCCTTCTGGTGTTTCTCAGACTTAGCTTGGTTTCCCAAATAAACTATGTACTTGCATTCAAAACTTTTTCTCAGCATCTTTTTCAAAGGGAACCCAAACCAAGACAATTGTCTTTTCTTCAGCTTCTGTAAAGGATGAGATAAAAGAAGTTTGACCCTCACTGATATGATTGGTCTTAGCTTCCGATCATTGTAACAACTGATGACAAAAAGTTAAAAGTATATACTAAGAATAATTAGTTATCTTCAGGCTTTGGGCGGGAGCGGGGGATTCTAATGACAAATGTAAGAAAGGAAAATTATTCGAAACTTCTGAAGCACCCAATCCTCCCCATGAAATTGAACATATAACTTATTTCTCACCATCTGCACTGGGGAAGAACCTTAGGAAAAATGAGTAGGTGTTTGTTTTACACCTAGATGAATAAAAGGGCTTGACGATTTTGTTTATCTTGCAGAAAGGGCTTTGTCTCAAAGTTAAAGCCCAGTCTTCACTTCCAGAGGCAGAAAACAGCTGCACTTTTTAACAGTCCTCCAGCATCATACTTTCCTTTTGACAGTACTGTTTCAAACATGTTTACAGATAAGGATTAAAACAGACCCATCTTTATTCTTTTAGCAGCTTGCAGGCCCTGGTCTGTTCAAGAAATGTTTGTTAAGTATAAACAAACTGAATTAAAATGGCTTCTCTAGAAAGCTTGTAGTTATTATAATTTGCTCCACTAGCCAGTGCAACTCTGGGTCCTTAAGGTAAAATAATAGCTGGGTTTCGTTTGGCTAATTTTGAAGCCAGTCAACAATTAATGGAATAATAGATTTTAAATTTAAAATCAAATAGATTTAAAATCAAATATATAAAGGTTAATAATGCAATTGAACAGTGCTGTGATTTGTAAAATAATGTAAATAGGAGTTACATTTGCTGTAGTTTCAAAAATCAGATTCTAAAGCTATGCAAGGATGATTTTTCCAGATCTCATTTTAGTTGAATTAGTTGGTTAGTAGAGTTAATTATGTAGTGCTAAAAGTGGCTCCAATAAACGGAAACTTAGTAATGAGTTTTGCATAAATACACAACTAATACATATTTGCAAATCATTATTATGTACATTATTGCTTTATTTATAAAACCTGAATGAACTTGTTATAAGTTATAGTAGGCATACACACACACACATGCACACACACTACATTCACCTATTTTGGAGAGAAAAATCTTGTGATATCATTTCTATATTTATTATAAATATTATTCATAATGAGGGTTCAAGTTCTATAGGGTATTAGTATATGACACACCATGCTATTTAAAACTATAAATGTATTTTACCTAATTACATCTAAGTTTTTCTGTAGCTACTCTTCCAGAAACACATTTTGTTGTTTATACCTAGACTTTCACAGTGTTTACGCTTTAACTCCATTAATTTATCTGGTTTATTAATTTTATCAGATAGGAATATGTTTGATTAGATAGCTAGGATTTGTTGATCTAATACTACGGCTACAATCTGGCATATTTCATTTCACTTGGCATTACAAATATTACTAATGTTTATAAATACTTTCAAGAACTTATGGAAATTAAGGACAGATTAGTTTCCTTTCAAAGTGTAAGAGCTACCTACATACATATCTAATTATGCATTTTAGAAAGACTCATCATCTCAAACATTATCACTGGTATATTCAAAGAGTATTTGACCTTTAAAAAATAAATATAAAGGAGAGGTTATGATGGGTGTTTTTGTTTGTTTGTTTGTTTGTTTGTTTGTTTATGGATTCTTGCTCTGTCGCCCAGGCTAGAGTACAGTGGTGCAGTCTCGGCTCATTGCAACCTCAGAGTCCCAGGTTCAAGAGATTCTCCTGCCTCAGCCTCCTGAGTAGCTAGGACTACAGGCGCATGCCACCACGTCTGGCTAATTTTTTGTATTTTTAGTAGAGACGGGGTTTCACCTTGTTAGCCAGGATGGTCTCGATCTCCTGACCTCATGATCCGCCTGCCTCGGCCTCCCAAAGTGCTGGGATTATAGGCGTGAGCCACCACGCCCGACCAGGATACTATGTTTTTGAAAATATAAATTGGGATCAAATTAGAGTGCATTCATATGTGTCAATACTGTAAGACTGTTCAGTTAAAATAGCTTTACACTGGACTTCTGTCAAGAATGAAATTATAAACTTTCTAATAAAAAATTATGAATCAGTGGTAATTTATTAGAATGGTAATAAATATAGATATTGAAATTAACATATTTTCATGTACACAGTTCATTGTTAGAAGGTTAGGAAAAGGGTAGAACACATTGTGAGGACATTCAGAGCTGTGCTTTCAGCAAAGACAGACATCTGAAGACAAGTGCCCCTCCTTTATCCATTGCTCCCCCACCACCCATAGGTCTTGCTGGACCCATACCTTTATTCGCCCTGGAGAAGAGCCTTCTCACTATACCGTCGGCCTCTGGTGGCAGCACAGAAACAATCCTCTCTGCATCCCCAGTCCTGGGAGCATAAGCTGTGCTCAGGCTTTCTTGGGGACTGAAAGCTGAGTTGAAATTATTTTTCCCAGGACTTTTAAAATGCATGCTGTTATAATTCTCAATGTGCACTCTAACATTAGTATATCACAAAATGTATGCACACTTATCCTGATAGCATAAGAAAAAACTCACTAAAATCAATTTTGAAAAGAAAACTGCAATAATTTTAATATTTGCAAACAATAATGTACTAAAATTTACTAATAACATTGCCTTAAATTTTGTTTTTTCTTTTTAATTTTAGAATAACATACAAATCTACTTTGTGCTATGCTCTTTTCTTTTCTTCCTTTGAAGTCCATTCAGTGGCACAAGAAGAGGAGAGAATAAAGAAGGGAAGAAAATGCATTCCTATATATTGGAGCTTATATTGGTAGTATAAAACTTTCAGCTTCTCTTCAGTAAATATATTTGGTTCTACCTTCGACTTATGAGGTCTAAATGAACCAGAGGCAAAAGAACTATTTCTTGCTTGGTTCCTATGAGAAAGGCCTCATTGTTTGTTAACCAACAAGAAAACCCGACATTCTTGTTTTTGTTCCCCTTATTGTGTTCCTTTTCTTAACTGTCATTTCCAAGAAATTTTAACCCCACATTTTTTATTACTTATTCAAGTAAATGCAAGTAAACTTATTATAATGACCATACCCCCTTGAAATCTAGCTCTTTTGCAAAAGAAGGAAATACAGATCTATACTATGAATTTGATTTCTTGACCTCAACTAAAGTCACAGCATAAAATAAATATGAATTAATACGAATTGTAATTATTATTCCAATTTTTATCTTTGAGACTATGTAAGTACAGAACAAATTTAGAAGGTTGATGTATCCAACAGACATTTTTGTCCTTCGATGCCATTTGGACTTGCCACTGGATAATTTAGCACTGGTGATTTAATATAAAAAATAGTTTTATACATGTTGACTGAATTTCCCATTTTCAGTACTGAAGAGCCACATCAATCTTTCCATTAGTGAAAGGGGGTTATATTTTAAAATGAAATTTGTTTTGAGGACACTATAAACAGAATTAAGTGTATTGTTAAGTATTCTTTCTTTCATATAAGTGTAAATTGTTGACACATGGAGAGAGGAGATGCCAGACTACAGATCATTCTTGTTGGATGAAGCATGTACTGAAGTATCACTTTCTAACAATTAAGAAATTAGCACTAACAATTATGTGTCATCTTGTCTCTAGAGCTCACAGCATGATTAGTTTATGCCTAATTAAGGGCCTAAATCAGCAAAGAATGTCTGGCTTCAGCCTTAGGGGGAATTCCTATAGGCTACTTTCTAAGCTTTCTCTATTTAAATGAGAATGTAATTCAATTTTAAATGACAATCTAACAGGATCCTTACTATTTCCCATCTTCTGATTTCAAAAAAAAAATCTGATTTTCATCTCTATTTCCATGCTGTCCTTTCAATTTGTAAAAAAAAAAAAAGAAGAAAAATAAAAGAAAAAGTCTACACAAACTTGAAGGTTTTAGTTCTCTACAAAAGAACTAGGTTTTCTTTTCTATTCAAACAGATCAAAATTCGTTATAATTTCAAATTCCTAGAAAAATCTTTTAAAACTGAAATCCCCAGTTCAGCACCAACAGTCATGTTCCTTCTCTCAATAAAGGGGAAGTAGACATTTAGTCTGACATATTTGGAGCATTTTATTAATTATTTAATTAAAATACTTATTAATCATAGTAATTAAAAGATTGGAGACAAGACTATGAGAAAAATTAATGAATTATAATGACACTATATATGCACACAAATACACACTATTTGTGTGTGTGTGTGTGTGTATATATATATATATACCTATATTCACATACTCACATATATATACTATATGCATGCCTATATATTGGAGCTTATATGACCTCATATTAGTAGTATAAAACTTTCAGCTTTTCCTCAGTAAGTATATTTGGTTCCACTTTTGACTTACGAGGTCTAAATGAACAAGAGGCTTATATGTATATATACACACACACACATATACTATATATATAATGTGTATATATATACTATATATACATGTGCATTTATATGTATGCATATATACATATATGCACATATATGCATGATATGCATTTATATGTATATACATATACACATATGGAATTTACACATATGGAATTTATCATGTTGCACATACACATATGGAATTTATCATGTTTATATTCCTACATGCATGATATCATAATTTTATCTCTTTTTTACAGCTGAGGAAACTGGAAACTGAAGCTTGGAAGTGTTTATTAACTTTCACATGGTCATAGAGCTAGTAAAATGGCTGAGGCACAAAGTCAAGAAAACAGAACCGACTAATATAAAGTAAAGGTCAAAGGAGTGCAAATAAAATTCCTAATTGCAGGTTGCCTTTATGATTAGACACGCCCTTTCAAAGCTAATTTAACCCTAAAGGAATGTCTTACACAAAAATGTAAAACAAATGGCTCAAATAGTTTATCAAAAATAAGAAAAAGGTTCTTAATGCAACTTTTATTTTTCTTTTGACATTTCTTTGCATGCATGACAAATTTAGAAAATATGACTAAAAAGAAATCTGCTTTCTCTAAAAGACAGAATTGTTTTTTAAAACACTTATAATATCAATATGGTAAAATAAAGAAACCAAGAAACCTTGATCTTATGGATATATAAACAGAAATGCCTATATATTAGAAGTTACCTACAAAACAATTTTCCATGTTTAACTAAAACCAGTTTTATTCTTCCGCAGTTTCCAAAGTGGAAATCAACAACTTCAAAGGAACAAAAACAAAAGAAAACTAAAACAGGAATAAAAAAGAAACAAATTATGTTTCTTAATTACAGGGCAAACTTTGAAAAGGAAAAATGTCTTTATATATACCACACTTTAATCCTAGAGTCTCTCCTTCACTTAAATTTATGTATTTGGCTTGCCAGAGTACACTTGGATTAGGCATTCCTCTACCCATATGCACCACAAAGCAAGAAATTACTTCATTAATATTTTTCTCTGAAAAAGTTGAAATCTAAAATGGACCAGGTTAAAATCTGAAGATAAACTTGTGTCTTCCAGTTGCACAATTTACCTTCAAATACTTTTCAAAAACATTTGAAAGATCGGCTACTGCTGCTGGACTGGAGTCACAGGGACACAGCATTATTGATGACAGCTGATGAATTTTTTTAATTTGCTCAGTACTTGAAATACGTTTGTTATGGGGGACTGTTGTTAGAAATTGTTTTACTATTTTTGGAAGACTGATGTGTTGAAACACATGAAAGTATATGAACATATATATTTATATATGATATTTATACACATACATATATACATATACATATATATATAACATCTAAAATATAGGCACTGCTGATATTCAGATTTTCTCATAGGCAATGCTTTGATCCTGAGATCCCCAAAGGTCCAAATGGAGTACAGTACAAAACACACTCATATGAAGCCATTAACAAATATTCAAATAACCAAAGTAAAAAAAAAAAAACAAACAAACAAAAAAAAACAGAATGGGCCTAAGGAAATCAGATATTTGACCTGAAAACAATTTATATACTATTCTATTGCATTGCTTATCTTCCCTTCAAATGGAATTTTACATGGAGAATATAAAGCTGGATCAGTTTTTTGTAGGTGTCACTCCATACATACAGAAAATACAAGCAGCAAAGATGTATTGCAATACATATTTTATCAACCTCCAACTATTTCCTGCCAAAGAAAATACAGGTTCTCCCTTCTAACTTAACATGCGATAGATTGACATAATAGAATGTTTATTCCATTACATTTTTAAATGATTTGTTTGGTAATGATACTCAAAAATGCTGGTTTCTTGGTATTCATTTTAAAGGACTTGCAGGGCAATTTCTATTTTATATTGATAACCATAAAATAAATGATTCTTATATCTGAGGAACAGATAAAAAATCACATATCAGCTTATTTCATACTCACCAGTTATATGGTTAGAAAATATTTCTACAACGTTTTGCCATTTTTATATGTTCAAAAAAAAAATTCCTGTATTTTAAACCAGTGCAACAAAGCTTATCTTTGTTCCTCACAAAGGCTATAATTTTAACCTTCTTTGTTTCCCCTTCCCCAACACCTGTATTTCCATCAAGTTTTGAGAAAGGCGAATGGAGGGACAATGGCTTATTTATTTTACTCAGTCTTTTACCTATTAAAAAAAATCCCATAGAATTGGCCCTGAGGATTAGGTTAGAGAGAAACTCCAATGAACTTATTTTTTTAGGCACAAGTTTTAAAATACAAATGCTCACTAAAACTATTATTTGTCTTTTAACTGAAATACACTACTTCAGTCACAATACTATTGAAATAAAGGGAAAAAGAAAAGAAAGGAAAAACACTTACTTGGGACATAAGGCATTAAAATGCACTGTAAATAACTACCTTTGTTGGCATTTTTAATGTGATTTTTGTCTTATTTTTTCTCAATCTGACTTAAAAAGCAGTTTATAATAAGGCATTGTTCATTGTCTATATCCAAATAGAAGGCCTATCAATGACAAGTTTCTGTTCTGTAGTGATATTCAATATTCATTTGATTTGAGAGCATTATCTAGTAAACACAACTACTTTTTAATGGATGAATCAATGATTTATGTTGGATCAAAATATTCATCAGTTAATAATAAAGAATAGTGTCTGTTCTTCCTGAAACTAAATGAACAACAAATAAACATACACACACACACAAACATAAACCATCAAAATCTGGCTCTTCTCATTTGTTTCTGACAGTGGCCCACTTCTTCTAAGATATTAAAGGGGCCTATTAATCCTTAATGAGGAGAATAACATGTTTGCAAAATATGAAAATAGAGGAAATAGTCCTTAGCCTGAGCTACTGATCTGTTCATGTTACTGGAAAAAATGATGGCCTCTTCAAATATTATCCTAAATAAAATTATAATTATCCAAATAAATGGCTAATGACTTTTCTCAAATTGCTTATTAACAATTTACTGAACAAGTGTTAATAGAAACAGAAAAGAAAGTTTCCCATAGTCACCATCAATCATTAGAATTTGAGGAGATATTTGGATAAAGTATTTTACGGGCAATACATATTTTTAGGAAAAATGACTAAAAAACGTAGGTAAAATAGAAAATCCCATAATATACACAAAAACATAATTTAATTAACTACATATAAATGAACATATTCTATGAAGTGAGTTATGGTTGCTTAAAGGGCCACATCCTAGGAGTCAGAGGCTATAACTCAGGTTTGTTAGTGAATGTAAAAGTAACACAAGAATTTTCCTGTCTGATTTTGGGTAGAAGAAATTGGTAGAAGAGTAAAAGTGTAATGATCTTTATAAATTGAAGCTCCATGAGATTGGGAAACTTTTTTTTTTCAGTATGTCCATTCTTTCTCAGCTTTTTTTAAAAGTTATTTTTTATTTTTATATATCTAGTGAGTAAAAGTGCAGATTTCTTACACACATATATTGCATTATGGTGAAGCCTGGGCTTTTAGTGTCCCCATCACCCGAGTAGTGGACATTGTATCCAATAGGTAATTTTTCAGCCCTCAAGACCCTCCCACTCTCCCACGTTTTGTAGTCTCCAATGTCTATTATTCCATTCTGTACGTCCATGTGTACCCATTGTTTAGCTCCCCTGTATACGTGAGAACACTCAGCATTGAACTTTCAGTTTCTGAGTTATTTCACTTAAAATAATGGCCTCCAGTTTCATCCATGTTGCTGCAAAAGACATGATTTTATTCTTTTCTATGGCTGAGTAGTATTTCATGGTATATATACACCATATTTTCTTTATCCAGCCCTCTGTTGATGGACACAGATTAATTCTATAACTTTGCTATTGTGACTAGTGCTGTGATGAACAGGTAAGTGTAGTTACCTGTTCTTTGTGGAATCTCCATACCGTTTCCTATAAAGGTTGTACTAATTTACATTCCTACCAACAGTGTGCAGCGTTCCCTTTACTCGATATTCTGGCCAATATGGGATATTTTTAGACTTTTTAATAATAGCCATTCTGACTTGTTTAAGATGGTATCTCATTGTGGTTTTAATTTGCATTTTTTTTTTTTTTTTTTTTTGAGACAGAGTCTTGCTCTGTTACCCAGGCTGGAATGCAGTGGTGCCATCTCAGCTCACTGCAACCTCCGCCTCCCAGGTTCAAGTAATGATCCTGCCTCAGCCTCCCAAGAAGCTGGGAATTACAGGCACCTACCACCATGCCCGGCTAATTTTTGTATTTTCAGTAGAGACAGGGTTTCGCCATGTTGGCCTGGTTGGTCTCGAATTCCTGACCTCAAGTGATCCACTCACCTCAGCCTCTCAAAGTGCTGGGATTACAGGCGTGAGCCACAGCGCCTGGCCTGCATTTCTCTGATGATTAGTGATATTGGGCATTTTTTCATATGTTTCTTGACTGCTTGTATATCTTCTTTTGAAAAACATCTGCTCTTGTCCTTTGTCCACTTTTTAATGTGTTTGTTTGAGGGTTTTTGTTGTTGTTATTTGAGTTCCTTATAGATTCTGAATATTGGGCCTTTGCTGAATGCATTGTTGGCAAATATTTTTTCCCATTCTATAGGTTTTCTGTTTACTCTGTTGATTGTTTCTTTTGCTATGCAGAAGCTTTTTAGTTTAATTAAGTCCCGTTTTTCTATTTTTGTTTTTGTTGCATTTGGTTTTGAGAGCTTGGTCATGAATTCTTGCCTAAGCCATTGTCCAGAAGAGTTTCTCCTAGGCTATCTTCTAGTATTTTTATAGTTTCAGGTCTTATGTTTCGGTTTTTAATCCATCTTGAGTTAATTTTTGTGTGTGGTGAGAGGTATGGGTCCAATGGGATAGCCTTCTGCATGTGGCTATCCCATTTTCCCTGAAGCATGTATTGAATAGAGTGTCATTTCATCAGTGTACATTTTTGTTGACTTTCTCAAAAATCAGTTGGTTGTAGGTATGTGGCTTTATTTCTGCATTATCTGTTCTGTTCCATTGATCTATGTGTCTATTTTTTTTTATCCATACAACGCTGTTTTGCTTACTATAGCATTGCAGTATAGTTCAAAGTCAAGTAATACGATGCCTCCAGCTTTGTTCTTTTTGCTTATGATTGCCTTGGCTATTTGGGCTCTTTCTTCACTCCATATAAATTTCAGCATGTTTATTCTAATTCCTTGAAAAATGGCGTTGCTAATTTGATGGGAGTTAAGTAGAATCTGTAGATTGCTTTGGGTAGGCAATATGATCATTTTAATGACATTGACTCTTCAAATCCATGAGCATGTGATGGTTTTCTATTTGTTTGTGTCATCTATGATTTCTTTTATCGGTGTTTTGTAGTTCTCCTTATAGAGACCTTTAACTGTCTTGGTTAAATATATTCCTAGGTTGTTGTTTTTTGTTTTGGTTTGTTTTTTTTTTTTTTTGTAGCTATTGGAAATGTGATTGCCTTCTTGATTTGGCTCTGGCTAGATCCATACTGGTGTATAGAAACATTATTGATTCTTCTGCATGTTAATTCTGTATTCTGAAAGTTTATTGAATTTATTTATCAAATCTAAGAAGTTTTTAGTGGAATTGCTATAATTTTCCAGATATAAAATCATATCATCTATTAACAGGGATAATTTGATTTCCTCTTTTTCAATTTGGATGCCTTTCTCTTGCTCGATTGTTCTGGCAAAAACTTCCAGTACTAGACTGAATAAGAGTGGTGAAAGTGGACATCCTTGTCTTGTTCTGATTGTCAGGAGGAATGCTTTCAACTTTCCCCCATTGAGTATGATGTTGACTGTGGATTTATCATATATGGCCTTTATTATGTTGAAGTATGTTTCTTCTATGCCTATTTTATTCAGGATTTTCATTTGGAGGGATCCTGAATTTTATTGTGTGTTTTTTCTGCTTTTATTGAGATGATCACATGGTTTTTGTCCTTAATTCTGTTTATGTGATACATCACGTTTATTGATTTGCATATGTTGAACCATCCTTGAACCCTGGGATAAATTCCACCTGATCATGGCTTATCATCTTTTTGATGTGTTATTAGATTTGATTTGCTAATATTTTGTTAAGGATTTTTGCATCTATGTTCGTCAGAGATATTGATTTGTAGTTTTTTCTTTTGGTTGTGTTCTTGTCTGGTTTTGGTATCAGGGTAATACTTGTTTCACGGAATGAGTTAGGGAGAATTTCTTCTTCCTCGTTTTTTTCGGGGGATAGTTTCAGGAGGATTGATATTAGTTCTTCTTTGTATGTTTGGTACAATTTGTCTGTGAATTTATCTGGTCCTGTGCTTTTTTTATCGGGAGGTTTTTTTTGTTGCTGATTCAATCTCGCTACCCATTATTGGTCTGTTTGGGAGTTCTATTTTTCCTGGTTCAACTTTGGTAGATTGTGTGTTTCCAGCAATTTATCAGTTTCCTCTAGATTTTTTCATTTGTGGCTATGTAATTGTTCACAATAGTTTCTGATGATCTTCTGTATTTCTGTGGTATGAGTTGTAATATCTCCTTTTTCATTTTAAATTGTGTTTATTTGGATTATCTCTTTTCTTTCACATTTCTTGTTCTCCTGGTACCTAGCACGGTGTCTAGCATTAGAATGACAGAATCAAAGTTGTCTGTGATCATTAATAAGAACCTTAAATTAAGAATTAAACATCCAGTGCACATTAGACTTTGTAAGAGCTCACATAGTCTATGTGAGGTAAGAGCTCGCATAGTCTAATGACATAAGGAGGTTCAAGAGGAAAATCTTATAAATGGTCTCAGAGACCCTCTAAATATTTTCAGTTCTGGAACCTATTGGTTTGCAGCATCAAACAGATATCAAAATTCAATGTCAACTATTTAGACTTGGATGGATATAAATGTGTAGGTAATGCAAATATATATTATCTTTTAAATTATGGCATCAGACAGTAATTCCTAATAAGTTCTTTCTCCTTTGCCAGAAAGTCTAGAGGTAAGGGAACCCTTAGGCATTGTTATTGATGAAGGTAGGTCTATCCAAGAAGAAATATCAAACTTTGTGTCTTTGGGTAATTTACATTTATGATCCTCAATTTCCTTATCAGTAAAACGTGCGAGTACAGAACTTGTTTGTAGTGTTATGAGCATTAAATGCATTAATGACTTAAGGCTTCATTTGATAACAATGATTACCACACATCAAATGACAACATATGTTAGCTATCTACTATCTAAAAATTAAATCATAACACTAGAGTTCTAGAGATAGCTCAAGAGGGGCCATATAGATTTAAGATTCCATGACAGTTGCTGAGTCCGTGAAAATAAATAAGAGCCAAGAATGGTAGCTTGCTCCTGTAATCCCAGCTACTTGGAAGGCTGAGGCAGGAGGATGTTTGCATCCAGGAGTTCAAGGCTGCAATGGGCTATGATTGCACCACTGAACTCCAGCCTGGGTGACAGAGTGAGACACAGTCTCTTAAAAAGAGAGAGAGAATAAATTGGTTATGCGAGAAAAACAATAGGATGAGAGAATTAGGTCAAGGCTCAGCTCTGAGATACATAATATTTAATAAGCAAGAAGGAAGCTGTGTGGAGAAGAGTGTGGAAATGGACAGAATACTGATAATAAAGTTGGAGAGTGTGTTAGGCTGTTCTTGCACTGCTATAAAGGAATACTTAAGACTAGGTAATTTGTAAGAAAAGAGGTTTAATTGGTTCATGGTTCTGCAGGCTGTACAGAAAGCATAGCAGCACCTGTTTCTGGGGAGCCCTCCAATCACAGCAGAAGACAAAGAGGAACAGACATATCACGTGGAAAAAGTAGGAACAAGAGAAAGAGTAAAAGTGCCACACACTTTTAAACAAGCAGGTCTCATGAGAACTCACTATGGTGAGGACGGCATCAAGAGAATGGTGCTAAACCATTCACGAGAAATCCACCCACATGATTCAGTCACCTCCCACCAAACCCCACCTGCAATACTGGGGATTAAAATTTAACATGACATTTGGGTGGGGACATATATTCAAACTATAAAAGAGAGAAGATGAATTCAAATTCTTATTCATATTTACTAGCTTAACTTTGGTAAGTTATTTATTCTCTCTGATTCTCATCTCCCTAACCTATAAGCTGTGGGTGATATAAAAATGTCAGACTTTCTAGGAAGATAAAATTGCAGTAAAATTTCACATAGCAAAACAAATTAAATATTTATATATGGTAGTTATGTTTACAGTTTGTAAAAGTGGACAAAGAGTGAATAAAGTAAAAAGAGAAAAAGAAGGAAAGGAAGGAAGTGAGGAAGGAAGGAAGGAGAAATGAAGAAAAAGAAGAAATAAGAGAAGGGGAGAAATTAACAAATGGAGGGAGAAAAAAGAAGGAAGGAAAGAAGAAGGAAGGAAGGAAAAGAGGGATGGGAAGGGAAATAGAGAAAGGAAGAAAACAGAAAAAATAGGAAGAGGATAGAGAGAAGAGAAAAAAAGAAAGAAAGGATAGAATGAAGAGCAGAGAAAAAAACAAAGAGAATGCAGAAAGAGAAAAAACAAGAAGAAAGTAGTTAATGAAAAAAGGGACATAGCTGGGAAATTTTAGTTTTGAAAAAACCATGGCAGAGTGCTTCAAAAATGTGGTCAATATTCCTGCAGGGATGTGAGGGATTGGGAGGTGTGAAATAGTTCTGAAGATTTATATTGACCCTTGTTTCCTCTTTTATCTTCAGCATAACTAAGAAAATGGGTTTTGGAAAAAGTTTGTTATATCTTTACAGAAATAAACACATATACAGACAGGCAGCAAGTTCTGTGACAAGTACTGTTTTATTTTTTGCTGTTTGCTTACCACAGTGATGTTTTTCATGGAAAAAAAGTAATTACATAGAATATCATATCCCAGAGATAAAAAGTTACTATTTTCTACAAATCCTGTTTATATCTTTCTATGTGCTTTTTCACGGCCTCCCATGATACACATTTTATGTGCACTATTTTTTATTTAGCATTACACTGATATACTTACCTATATTATTCTAAATTATTGTATAGTCTGTGCCATGCTTCCTAAACTAAGTTATTATTGTTGGATAATAAGGATATTTACCTTATTTTGCTACTGAAAATAGAGTTACAATAAGGAATCCAGCACATAAATCACTTTCATAGAATATGTTTTTGGACATGAAATAGTTGCATCAAAGAATTTTTAAAGTCTTGTTAATAAGTACCCATTCAAATTGATTAAA